>NW_018654726.1:0-209722 GCF_000001405.40 Homo sapiens
GAATTCAATTGCCAGGCAGAACATGCACGGCACTCCAGGACTGGCAGTTAAAAATCAACCCCTCACCTAACCGCTTGTATTATCTATAGATTCCAGACACTGTATGAGGAAGCATCGTGAAACTGTTTTGTTCTCTTCTATCCTGATTACCAATAGATGCAGCCTCAGCAACATACCCCATGCTTGCTCAATCAATGATGACCCCTTCACAGGGACCCTCTTAGAGTTGTAAGCCTTTAAAAAGGGTAGAAATCTCTCTGTGGGGAACTTGGTTTTTGAGACAGCTGGCTGATGCTCCCAGCCGAATAAAGTCACTTCTTTCTTTAAGCCAGTGTCTGAAGGGTTTTGTCCATGGCTTATGCTGCTACAATGGGAGTATTCCAATGTACAAGGAACATTTGGAGATTTGGATTGCCAATTGGGGCCATCCTGGCAAACCCCCATATGAGAGCTTTCATACCAGAAGCCAAATGGGAATGAGAGAGATTGATACAATATAGGATGTAACCTCCACACTTGCCTCTTCATATTCTGACTTACCTGTTCCTCATCAGCCTAGGGTTTCCTGGGTCTGGCTCAGTGTCTTCCTCACTAAACATTTCCCTCTTCATGGAAGGTGACTCTCAAAGAATCCATTGCATGAGTGTTTCCTTCTAAACAGTGTCATGTTTTAATGACTGGGCATCTGTGATAATTTTAAAACCATAAGTTCCTGTTACAGCCACCAACAAGGAGACTCTTGCTCTCCAGCTTTTACAAGAGGGCTGCATGATTCCTGTAGGTGGAGAAGTAGGCAGCCATTTCTGGCTTTTGCCTGGTAATCTAGACTCTGTTTCATTCCATCTCCATGTCCTTCCTCATTGTGGAAAGCGTCTTTCACTGGGCTTTTGCTGAGTTGGGCTGCCTCTCACCACAGATTTATTGGCCTCCAGGGATTTCAGGAAGGACAAGGGACTTTGGGTAGGCTGGCTGCAACCCAGGTTGTGGGTATTGGTCTCCTTATGGGGGCTGAGGTTGTTTGCACTTTGCAGGAGGCTTTTGGGTTCTCTGACAGAAATCATTGAACATTGCTAGGACTCCAGAACAAGGCAGCTTGTTTCACTCCTTTCTCTGTGGGAAAGAGAGTTGCTGGGATGCCAGATGAGTTCTTCTCCCCTGTGTGAGACACCCATGGGAGCCATGGGTGGCCTCTGAGGAGAAAAGTCTCCTTATTGCCTTCATGTCTTTATGCTCAAGAGCATAACAGCTCAGCGGCATGCTACAGGTTGCTCAGGGAAATAACACTCCCTTGAAGCAGTGGTGTATAATCAAACATCTTGTCTTCTACTGAAACTCACTCCCACCCATTTCAGTCCTGATAAGTCATTTGTATTATTTCTGTTATTATTTTTTTGTGATGGAGTCTCTCTCTGTCACCCAGGCTGGAGTGCAGTGGTGTGATCTTGGCTCACCACAAGCTCCACTTCCCATGTTCACACCATTCTCCTGCCTCAGCATCCCGAGTAGCTGGGACTACAGGCACCCACCACTGCACCTGGCTAATTTTTTGTATTTTTATCAGAGACAGGTTTTCACCGTGGTCTTGATCTCCTGATCTCATGATCTGCCCACCTCTGCTTCCCAAAGTGCTGGGATTACAGGCGTGAGCCACTGTTCCTGGCTGTTAAAAATCTTACATAGTTTAGACACATGCCTTTGCAAGAGGAAATTCACAGAAACCACCACTGCTATACATCTTATTGAATGACTCACGAGTTCTGCTTCACTGATTAATCATTTTCCTCATCCCTTCCTACCTCTCCCATCTGACCTAAGAACAAAGAGCTTGTAAACCAATAAATTGGGTGGAGGTTGAGAGCTCGGGTCCGTGAGCAAGCCTCCAATTCTCTGGTCCCCTGGACCTGCTTTTTAAACTCTCAATCTTCCTCTTTCTAATTCCATTGTCTCTGCTGGACACAGGGTACCTGCCCAGTGGTGTGGGGCTTGTTTCCTCAACATCTGGTGCCCAACACAGTGCTCCCTATATCTCTACAAATCATCCAGTGAGGGAACACCAGAGCGTAGAAAGTGCAGGATGACTGACAAAGGATGTCCGAGTACCTTTTCCCTTCACGCTCTACAGGTAAGTGGGGCACTCAGAGAATTCCAGGGCAACCTCAGGAAAATATGGGTCAGGCTGGAAACAAGTTTGTTAATTACTTAAGCCTGGTGCAGCAGTTATTGAGCCATAGAGGAGTAATTATGAGTACCAAAAATCTCATATCTTTTTTCCATCTCATAGAAAAGTATTCTCCTTGGTTCCTGGAATACAGAACCATGAATGTAAAAGACTGGGACAAGATCGGACCAGACTTAAAAGGAGCACAACAAGAGGGCCACGATAGTCCCTTCTCCACTTGGTCTGTGTGGTCAGCAATTAAAACAGCACTGGAGCCCTTCCACACTGAGAAGGAGGAGGAGAAGTTTCAGGGTGACATAAAAAAGTTTAATAATCAGGAGTCTGATAATCAGCACAGTCAACCATCACAGTCTAGTTTAAAAAAGGGGGAGAAATGGGAAGGTGTACATACTAACCTCCAAAAACTTATGAAAGAAACAGTTCCCCCTACTGCGCCTTTAGAGGAAGGTGCAGAACAGCCACCTCCACCTCAGCCTTATGAATTTTTGGAAAGGGAGACTGAGACATGGCTTGCCACTCCCATTGTTTCACGGCCTACCATTGACTATGGTAAAGGGAAGCTTCAACAGCCCAACAGCCAATTACGGTGAGGGAATGATCCAGGCTTGTCCACCTGTTAATTATGGGAGAGAAATGCTGTGAGCCAGTCCAAATACAAATTATGGTGCAGGGGCAATTCAGGCATCCATTTGACAGGCACAAGAAATGGGGGATTTGGATGCTTGGCAGTTTCTGGTAATTATTTCTCCAGCTGAGGAGCCCAGAGAACATGCTCGGGCCTGCTGGGAGCCATTTCCTTTTAAAATATTAAAAAGACTTTAAGCAAGCAATTGGACAATATGGGCCAAATTTTTCTTAGGTTCATTCTTCATTATAATTTGTGGCTTATAACAGGCCCTTAATACCTATGGATTGGGAGTCATTAGCTCGATCCACCCTGTCTCCCTCTCAATTTCTCCAATTTAAAACCTGGTGGACAGATGAAGCAACAAGTCAGGCAGGGAGAAATGCTCAGGCCCAACCTCCTATTAATATCACATCTGATCAATTGCTTGGAATTGGGCAGGCATGGGGTACTGTAAATCAACAGATGGTAATGGGTGATGAGTCTGTTGATCAGCTCAGAACTATACACTGAAGATACCAGAAAAAAAATTCATGACCCTGTTACTATTTATCCTTCTTTTAACTCAGTTTGACAGGGTCCAAGGAAGATTTATCCAGATTTTATCACCCCATTTGCAAGAAGCTGCTCAAAAGACTATTTCAAATTCTTGTGCCAGGAAAGTGATCATTCAGCTGCTTGCTTATGAAACTATGAATACAGAATGTCAGGGAGAAATTAGATCTATTAAGGTAAAGGCAGATCTAAATGAGGAAAAAACTGTAAGTGAATATATTACAGCCTGTGATGGCATTGAGGAGCCCTTATATAAGGCCAACCTCCTTTCTCAGGCAATGGCTGGACTAAGGGTAACAAAAAACACATGAGTGTTCCCTGGATCTTGATATAATTGGGGACAGATAGGACATGCAAAAAGAGAGTGTACAAAGAGCCAAAAAAGGCAAAACTCAGGACCAGGCCCTGATTCAAAACAGGGCATTCCCAATTCAGGGTGGGTCATCCCTGACCCCAAACAGAGTATTCCCAGCCCAGTCTATCCCTGCACAAATGCAGAGCAATTGTCCCCCTCCACAGATAAAAGTGGGGCAGTAAATACATGCTGTACTGAACCTGTATCCCTCCTTCCTGGGGAGACTCCCAGGAAGATCCCAACGGGAGTTTACGGCCCATTGCCAAAGGACATGGTGGGACTTATACTTGGAAGGTCCAGCTTAAAATTAAAGGGAATTCAAGTACATACTGGGGTAGTGGGCTCTGATTGCCAGGGAGAAATTCAAATTGTTATCTCCTCCACTGTTCCCTGGAGTGCTAATCCAGGTGACAGAATAGCTCAACTGTTGTTTTTACCATATGTTAAGATAGGAGAAAGCTCAGAATAAAAGGAGGATATAGAAGCACAAATTCAGCAGGCAAGCCTGCCTATTGGGTAAATCAAGTCTCTGACAATAGTCCTATTTGTAGGTCACTATTAAAGGAAAACAATTTGAGGCTCTTGTCGACACAGGAGCAGATGTGTCAATCACAGCGTTTATCAATGGCCCAAAAACTGGCCCAAACAAAAGGCCCCAGTGGGTCTTGTTGGGATTGAGGATTTGCTTGTATCTCACCAGGAGAGAATCAACTTCTTGTCTGGGTACCCACAAGACATCTTAAGCTGTGCCAGGAGCCAGAATTCAAGGAAGAGGAAAAGACCTCAGAAAGTCCCTACACCCCCAGTTCATCAGATGGCTCAGATGAACATCTCTGTTGAGCAGATGGAAACCAGTAAAACTTACCAAGCAACTCCACCGACCTGGGGGCGGATGAAGAGACTAGCTCGCACTGAAGAAGAGAACCTGCGGTCTCAGCACAAGCTGCTGACCACCAGTAATCTAATGGTAGCTACGATGGTGGTAATCCCCTTGGTGGTGAGTCTCCCTGCAGAGGGGCAGATCAAAATTACACTTACTGGACCTACATTGCATTCCCACCACTGATTAGGCCTGTTATAAGTTTAGATGCCCCAGTGGAGGTTATGTTAATGATAGTGTCTGGATGCCTGGACCAATAGATAACCAAGGTCCTACTCATCCAGAGGAGGAAGGAATGTTAATGAAAGTTTCCATTGGTTATCACTTTCCTCCCATCTGCCTGGGGCCAGCAGCAGGATGTTTAAATTATGATAAACAACGTTGGATGGTTTATGTCCCTGAACATAATGGATGAAAGGCCTCTATTCATGTAATCAGTGGAAGAACATTTCAATCTTTGGACACTATTAAATACCTTGAGCATGGCTATGTTATGACACATCATCAGATTAATAAACTTAAACCTTCTTATTGAAGTCCTGCCCCAGGCAGGCCACTAAATGAAAATCTAGAGGTGCTAACCTGGGAAGATTGTATTGCAAACAGCGCTGCAGTATTGCAAAATAATTCCATTGGAATCATCACTGATTGGGTCTCTAGAGGTCACTTTGCCATAAATTGTACCGGACACAGCAAAGATTTTGGAGAGACTCCTTTGCAAAAGACTTCCCAGATAACGCACTAAAATTATATAGAAGAATTGAAACAAACTGCCCTATTAAGTGGGAGGAGAATGGTATGGCTCCTCCAAGGCCAAAAATGATTGATCCAATTACAAGACCAGAACATCCAGAATTGTGGAAATTAATGATGGCTCAAACCCCAGTTGGGATTTGGAAAGGAGAATATAAAACAGAGACTCATAGTGAAAATCTTTGATTTGTTGTAGCCATGATCTCTAATCAGACAGTCCCATTGCAGAGTTGTGTTAAACCTCCTTTTATGTTAGCAGCAGGAAAAGTTAATATCCTACTTGACTCTCAAACCATATCATGCCTCAGCTGTCATATTTTTACCTGCATTAATTCTACCTTTAATAAAGATAACAGCACTTTACTGGTTAGGGCCTGAGAAGGAGTTTGGATACCTGTTTCCCTCAATAGACCTTGGGACGCCTCTTCCTCCATATATATTATCACTGCAGTACTAAAAGAAATACTTAATAGATCAAAGAGATTCATATTTACCTTAATAGCTGTCATCACGGGCCTCATAGCGGTCACAGCTATAGCTGCTGCTGCTGTTGTAGCTTTGGATTCTTCTATTCAAACTGTGAGCTCTGTGGATAGTTGACAGAAAAATTTTTCCAAGCTTTGGAATTCCCAAAGCCAAATAGATCAAAAATTGGCAAATCAAATTAATGATCTTCATCAAACAGTAATTTGAATGGGTGGTCAGATTATGAGCTTGGAGCAGAGAATTTAAATGCAAAGTGATTGGAATACTTCTGATTTTTGTTTCCTCCTAGCTCTTATAATACCACTGAACACCACTGGGAGTTGATTAGACATCGCCTACCAGGAGAAGATAATTTAACATTAGATCCTGCTAAACGGAAAAAACAACTTTTTGCAGCATCTCAGGCTCATCCCAGCTTGTTGCCTGGAGCTGATATTCTTGCTGGAGCCACTGATGGCCTTTTTAACAATAATCCTTTAAAGTGAATTAAAACCATAGGTGGATCATCAACTGCAAATATTATTTTGGTTTGTGTCTGTTTCTGCTTTTTTTTTTTTTTTTTTTTTTTTTTTTTAGTCTACAGTTGCGGACAGCACCTTGGGAGAGAAGACAGACACCGTGAATGAGCTATGATAGCAATGGTGGTTATTAATTTAAAAAAAATGGGGACAAAAAAGTGGGACATATGGAAAAGAGAGTTTCTGGGATGCCAGATGAGTTGGTCTGCCCTGTGTGAGACTCCCATGGGGAGCCATGGATGGCGTCTGAGGAGAAAAGTCTCCTTACTGCCTTCATGCCCTTATGCCTGGAGAGCATAACAGCTCAGCGGCATGCCGCAGCTTGCTCAGGGAAATAACACTCCCTTGAAGCAGTGGAGTCTAATCAAATGTCTTGGCTTCTCCTGAAACCTAGTCCCACCCATTTCAGTCCCGATAAGTTAAATACATTAAGTAGTTTAGACACACACCTTTGCCCAAGGAAATTCACAGAAACCGCCACTGCTATACATCCTATTGAATGACTCACGAGTTCTCCTTCACTGATTAATCCTTCCCCTCATCCCTTTCTACTCCTCCTATCTGCCCTATGAACAAAAAGCTTGAAAACCAATAAATTGGGTGGTGGCTGAGAGCTCCAGGCCATGAACAAGACTCCAATTCTCTGGTCCCCTGGACCTGCCTTTTAAACTCTCATTCTGTCTTTTTCTAATTCCTTTGTCTTCGCTGGACTCGGGGCACCTGCTGGGCAGTGTGGGGCTGGTTTCCCAACAATTCTGTCAAGTGATTTTTTTCTCTCTGGGTATAAGGAATTGCCACAGACAGCCTCTGAGACACTGTCTCAACCTCATCGGCACCCATGAGAGGCCAGTTCAAAGTGTGAGAACATGTCTCCAACGTGGACTTGCCTTTCTTGTGGTTCTTGCTTATCTGAGAGAGCCCCTGTGAGGCCCAGGATGAAGGGAGGCAGTGAGATTAACGGCCTGGCCATCTTTTGCTGACAGCTGCCTCTGGGGTCTTAGATATGATTCTATCATCCAAAGAACACTGAACAACACAACAGACTATATCCTGATCCCCGTGGGATCTGATCCTTGCACACACATTCTCTTTCAGGAATAGAGTCAGAAGAGCTGTTTCCAGCCACTACCTAACAGTATTGAAATGTGTACTCCTCCAGCGGGACGAGACCATGGAGGCTGCCCATGGGTCCCTAAGGTCGAGATGTTTAGGGTCTCACAGTGGGTTTTCACAGGTAGCCATTTTCCCGATATGAGGCCAGCTTTGCCTGTGCATTTTCTTCTGCCTAGGCAGGCTGACATCTCTGACAGCTGGGTGCTTGAACCTGCCCCAAGAATGTGCATGTGCTAGTTTCAGGGCACCAGGCCTGATGGTGAGTTCTGGCTAGCCTTATAATGTCACTGTTGCCTAGCAACAAGTTCCTGCGGCTTGGCAGAGAAAGAGACCTGCTCGGAGGTGCATTGGCGGTGGACTCTCCCCTGTCTTTTCTGTGGGATCCACAGGATAGTCCCATGATCCTATGAGAAGGCAGATGTGAGCCAGCCTTGAAGAAATATCAACCATGATCAGAGGGCTTATGGGAGTCAGCCTGAAGAAACATCAACCACAGCCCCACAAATAAACTGCAAAATCTCTAAGGATCCAAAAGGATCTGCAGAATTCCTCAGGCCACCCTAGAGGTTGTATGGGTTTTGAAACTTACGCCAATGTGATTTCTAGGTACAGCCTGCCTGTGTTCCCTGGGGTTGCTGTCTCTCAGGTGGGGCCTCCTGCAGAACCATGCAACCTCGGGATCTGCCATGCTGTGTGTTTCCGTGGGTGTGTTGCGAGTGTTTGACGTCGAGTGTGTGTGGCATTTTGTGTGTGTGTGTGTGCCTGTAAGTGGGGTCTGCTTAAAGGAATAGGGCTAACACACTTCAGTGCTTCTTGTTTTTAGCCTCACTAACTTTTGGTGGCCTGTGTGTGTGGCTATGCTTGGGCTGCATGGTTCCGTGTTATTTTTCTGTAGATCCTGAATCCCCAGTGAATTTGGAGGTGGGCCAAGACCTGCTAGCATCCAAAATCAACTCCCCCTGCAGAAAAAAACCACTCTTCTAGAAGACGAGCACACCACACCAAAAACCAGGTATCTCTCAGTGTTTCCTTCATCTTGAGGACAACGCAGGGAGAGACACTAGCAGATCTGTCTGCAAGGCCACTTGGATTAACCTCGAATTTGGTTCCCAGCTGCGCACATGCTTCACATCATGAGGGATGCACTTCTCCATCTTCTTGGGATTTTATCCTGGAACATAGAGTCTGAGCAGCAATAAGGTCACATGGGGTGAGGATACAATCTGCTGAATGGAGAATGGGTTCCAGCAACTTCACCTGCAAATAAATAAATAAATAAATAAAGACAGATGACACAAAAGGTGCTTCTAACTCCATCCCAACATTCCCTTAATTTCAAAAGCAGTCCACACTATGGCCCAGAATTCAGGTGGGAGTATTTCAACGTGCAAAGAATATTTGGAGTGCAAATTGGGGCCATTCTGGCAAACTCCCAATGTGAGAACTTTCATACCCAGAGCCAAATGGGAGTGGAATGGATTGGTGCTGGGTAGGATGTGGCCTCTACACTTGCCTCTTCTTTTTCTGACTTCCATGTTTCTCTCCAGCCTAGGGTTTCCTGTGTCTGGCTCAATGACTTCCGCACTAAATGTTTCTCAGTTCATGAGAATGACCCTCATGGGAATCCATAGCATGAACGTTTTCTTCTAAAAATTCTCAATTTTTATTGACTGGGCAGCTCTGGTACTTTAACAACCATTAATTCCTGTTACAGCAGCAAACAAGGAAACACCTATTCTCCCACTTCTGTCGGAATGCTGCAAGATTCCTGTAGGATGAGAAGCTTGCAGCTGTGTCTGGCTTTTGCCTGGTAAACTAGCCTCTGTTTCATTTCATCTGCATAGCCTTCTCATAGTGGAGGGGCTCTTGCATTGCTCTGTTGCTGGATAGGAATGCCTCTTCCCACCAATTATTTAGCTGCCAGAGATATCAGAGAGCAGAAGGGACTTTGGGTCACATGGCTGCACTCCAGATTGTGGATTGTTGTATGTTGTGGGAGCTGAAGTTGTTTGCACTTTGCAGGAGTCTTTGGGGTCCTCAGACAGGAATCATTGAACATTGCTTGGACTCTGGCAAAAGGCATCTCGTTGTTTCAGGTGAGCTTTGATTTTTCTTTGCTTTCATGGAGAATTCACAGTGCTCCTCAACAGCACTACTGGACACCATTTTTAGGCTTGCCGTCACCACAGACAGCCTCTGAGATGGTGTCACATCCTCATATGCACCCATGAGGGGCAAGTTCGAGGTATGAGAACAGTGTTGATCTTATACTTGCCTTGTCTTGCTTCCTGCCTTTCCCAGAGAGCCTATGCAAGGCCCCAGATGAAGGGAGGCAGAGAGGTCAAGAGCCTGGTCATCTTTTGCTGACACCCACCTCTGGGATCTCAGATCTGCTGCTATCACCCAAAAAACCCCTCCAGAACACACCAGACTTATATCAATCCCTATGGGACCCAATTCTTTCACACAGCCTCCTTTGGGAACGGACTCAGAAGAGCAGTTTCCATGACCACTTCATGGTCTTGAAATGCCTCCTCCTCCAGTGGAACACAACCATGGAGATGGCTTGAATAACCCCCAAAGTTGAGACTTTTAGGGTCCTGCAATGGGTTTCACAGGCAGCTTATTTCCTGATACCAGACTGACTCTGCCTCTGCCATTTTCCTCTGCTTAGGCAGGCTGACGGGTCTGAGAGCCAACGCCCAAGCCTGCCTCATTAATGTGCATGCACTAGTCTCAGGGCACCAGGCCTTATTGTGAGCTCTGGCTAGCTTCACAATGAATGCCACCTTTGCCTAGCGACAAGTCCCTGCAGCTTGGCAGATAAAGAGACCTCCGTGGAGGTGTGTCAGCAGTGGACTCTCACCTGTCTTCTCTGTTGGATCCATGGGATAGTCCCGTGATCCCAGGAGAGGGCAGACATGAGCCAGCCAGAAGTAACATCAAACAGAGCCCTAGGAATAAACTGTGAAATCCATGAGAATACAAAACAATCTGCAGAATTCCTCAAACCTGTTTAGACTTTGTAGGGTTGAGTCTTTTTGAAATTGCTCTACTGTGATATCCAGGTATACTGGCTGTGTTCCCTGAGGTTGCTCTTTCCCAAATGCGGCTTCCTGCAGAACCACACAGCCTCAGGAGCTGCCAGCCTGTGTGTTTCTGTGAAAGTATTGAGAGTGTTGGATGTCTGCGTGTGTGTGTGTCTGTGTGTGTGCATGTTAGAATATAAGTGGAGTATTCTTAAAGGAATGTGGCTAACACATTTTAGCACTTCTTTTTTTTGAGTCTCCCAACTTTTTGGTGGCCTGTCTGTACAGCACTGCTTGGGCTGTGGGGCTCCATGTTCTTTAGTTTTCTGTGGATCATAAATCCCCAGTGAATTGGGAGGCAGGCTGAGACCCACCAGTGTCAAACTCATCTCCCACTCCAAAAGAAAGCCACTCTTAGAAAAAAGGGGAGCACACCACATGAAAAAACAGTCATCTCTGAGTGTTTCATTGTCCTGCAAACAATGCAGGGAGATACACTAGCAGTCCTGTCCATAGGGCCCTTGAATTTACCTCAAATTCAGGTCCCAGCCAAGCAGTTGGTTCACATCATAAGGGGGCAATACTCCATCGTCTTGGGTTTTCATTTTGGGACATAGAGTGTGAGCAACAATAAGGTCAGACAGGGGTGAGGATACAATCTGGTGGGAATTGGATGAGATCCCACAACTTCAACTGCAAAAAAATAAAGACAGATGACACAGAAGGTACTTCCAACTCCATCCCAACATTCCCTTAATTGCACAAGCAGTCCACACCATGGCCCAGTGTTCAGGTGAAAGTATTCCAATGTGCAAGAAATATTTGGGGAGCAAACTGGGGTCATCCTGGCAAACTCTCAATTTGCAGGCTTTCATACTGGGAGCAAAATGGGAATGAAATGGTTTGATGGTAGATGGGAAGTGGCCTCCACACTTGCCCCTTCTTTCTCTGATGTCCATGTTTCTTGTCAGTGTAGGGTTTCCTATGTCTGGCTCAATGACTTCCACAATACATGTTTCTCAGTTCACAGAGAATGACCCTAATGGGAACCCATTGCATGAGTGTTTCCTTCTAAACACTTTCACAATTTAATGACTGGGCAGCTTTGATACTTTTAAAACCATAAATAGCCACCAACAAGGAAACTCTTGTTTTTTTTCACTTCTATTGGCATTCTGCATGATTCCTGTAGGGTGAGAAGCAGTCAGCCCTGTCTGGCTTTTGCCTGGTAGTCTAGCCTCTGATTTTTTTCATCTGCATGGTCATCTTATTGAGCAGGTATTCTTTCATTGGGCTGTGGCTGGATGGGACTGCCTCTCACCAAAGATTATTTTGCTTCCCAGGATTTCAAAGAGCAAAAGGGACTTTGAGGAGTCTGGCTGCACTCCAAGTTTCGATCTGTTGTCTCAGGTGGGGGCTGAAGTTGTTTGCAATTTGCAGGAGGCTTTTGGGTTCTCTGACAAGAAGCATTGAACATTGCTTAAACTCCAGCTCAGTGCAGCTCATTCTGTCAGGTGAGCATTGATTTTTCTTTGCTTTTATGGGAAATCCACAGTGTCCTTCAACAGCTCTACTGGACATCATTTTCAGGCTTGCCATCATCAAAGATGACCTCTGAGACATGGTCTCTACCTCATCTTCACCCATAAGAGGTCAGTCCAAGGTGTGAGAATATGGTTCAAACTTTGACTTGCCTTTTTCATGGTTCCTGCCTTTCTCAGAGAGCCCCTGCTAGGCATAGGATGATGGAGGTAGTGAGGTCAAGAGCCCAGACATCTTTGCTAAAAAATGCCTCTGGGGTCTCAGGTATGATGCTATGACCCAAAGAACCATCAACAACACACCAGACAGACTATATGCCAATCACCATGGGACCCGATTCTTGCAGACACACATTCTCTTTTGGGAATGGATTTCAAAGGGCAGTTTTCAGTGACCACCTCAGAGTCTTGAAACACCTCATCCTCCATCAGGACACAACCACAGAGATGGTCCAAATGAGCCCTGAGGTCGAGGCTTTTATTGTCCTGCCATGGGTCTTCACAGGCAGCCTTTTTCTTGATACCAGGCCAGCTCCGACTGTACCATTTTCCTCTGCTTAGGCAGGCTGAATGCTGTTACAGCAGGACACATAAGCCTGTCTCAGGAATCCACATAAGCTAGTCTCAGGGCACCAGTCCTGAGTGTGAACTCTGTCTAGAGTCACAGTGAATGTCACTGTTGCCTAGCGACAAGTCCCCGCGGCTTTGTGGAGAAGACTCCCAAGGAGGAGACCTCCATGGAGGTTCGTCGGCTGAGGTCTCTCACCTGTCTACTCTGTGAGATCCACAGGATAGTCCCATAATCCTAGGATAGGGAGGATGTGAGCCAGCCTGAAGAAACATCAAGAAGAGCCCCAGGAATAAGCTGCCAAATCCCTAAGGATCAAAAAACATCTGCATGCTGTCTAGATGTTGGAAGGGTGTCTTTTTGGAACTTGTCTTAACTGTGATTTTTAGGTACAGCCCATCTCTTTTCCTTGGAGTTACTTTGTCTCAGATGGGGCTTCCTGCATAATCCTGCAGCCTGAGGAGCTGACAGGCTATGTGTTTTTGTGGGAGTGTTGCAAATGTTGGATGTCTGCCTGTGTGTGTGTTATTGTGTGTTTGTGTATCTGTGTGTGTGTGTGCCGTTAAGTGGAGTCTGCTTAAAGGAATGTGGCTAAAGCACTTCAGTGTTTTTTTATTTTTTTAGTATATTAACCTTTTGGTGGCCTGTCTCTGTGGCTCTTTTGGGCTGTCAGGCTTGTGTTATTTATTTTTCTGTGAATCATGAATCCTCAGTGATTTTGGAGGCGGGCCAAGCCTGCCGGCAACCAAGGTATCTCCCCGTACAATAAAAGCCACTCTTCTAGAAAGAAGAGGAGCACACCATACCAAAAAAACAGACATTTCCCGATGTTTCATTTTCCTGCAGCCAACCCAGGTAGAGAAACTAGCAGTCTAGTCCTCAGGGCCCCTATATTTACGTCAAATTCAGTTCCCAGCTGATCAGGCGCTATACATTGTGAGGGGACACTCCTCCCTCGTTTTGGGATTTCATCCTGGGACATAGAATATGAGCAGAAATAAGGTCAGATAAAGGTGAGGATATAATCTGGTGACAAGGGGAAGGGGTCCCGCAACTTCACCTGCAAAAAGATAAAGACAGATGACACAGAAGGTGTTTCCAATTCTATGCCCGCATTCCCTTAATTGCACAAGCAGTCCACAACATAGCCAGGAGTTCAGGTGGCAGAACTCCTACGTGCAAGGAACATGTGGAGTGCAAATTGACACCATCCTGGCAAACTCCTGATTTAAGGGCTTTCATACCTAGAGCCAAATGGCAGTGGAATGGATTGATGCTGGGTGGGATGTGGCCTCCATACTTCCCCCTTCTTTTCCTGACTTCCATGTTCCTGGTCAGCCTAGGGTTTCCTGGGTCTGGCTAAATGACTTCCACACTAAACGTTTGCCTGTTGCTGGTGAATGACCCTCAGTGGAATCCACTGCATGAGCGTTTTCTTCCAAACACTGTCACGTTTTAATGACTGGACAGTTTTGATACTTTAAAACAATAAATTCCCATTTCAGCCACCAACAAGGAAACTCTTATTCTACCACTTCTATCAGAGGCCTGCATGATTCCTGTAGGAGGAGAAGAAGGCAGCTGTGTGTACATTTTACCGGGCAATCGAGGCTCTGTTTCATTAAATCTGCATGGCTCTCTCACTGTGGAGGGGCTCATTCATTGAGCTGTTGCTGGATGGGACTGCCTCTCACTACAGATTGTATAGCTTATCAGGGTTTCAGAGAGCAAAAGGGACTTCGAATAGGCTTACTGTGCTCCACATTTTGGTCTATGGTCACATTTTGGGGGCTGAAGTTGCTTGAACTTTACAGTAGGATTTTGGGTCCCCTGACAGAAATCACTGAACATTGCTTGGACTCCAGCACAAGGCAGCTCGTTTCCTCAGGCAAGCCTTGTTTTTTTCTTGCTTTCATGGAAAACCCACAATGCCCCTTAACAGCACTGCTGGACACAATTTTCAGGCTTACTATCACCACAGATGGCCTCTGAGACACTGTGTCAACATCATCTGCACCAAGAAGAGACCAGTCTGAGGTGTGAGACAACTGCTCCACCTTGGGCTTTCCTCGGTCATGGTTCCTGACTTTTCCAGAGGGCCCCTGTGAGGCCTAGGGTGAAGGGAGGCCATGAGGTCAAGCTCGGGCATCTCTCACTGATGCTCACCTCTGGGCTTTCAGGTATAATTCTATCACCCAAAGAACCCCAACAACACAACAGATTCTATTCCAATCTCCATGGGACCTAATTCTTATGCACAGCCTCTTTCAGGAATAGAGCCAGAAGAGTAGTTTCCAGCGACCACCTCACAGTCCTGAAGTGCCTCCTCCTCCAGTGGGACCCAACTATGGAGATGACCCAAAGGGGCCCTGAGGTTGAGACTTTTAGAGTCTCACAGTGGGTTTTCATAGGCATCATTTTTCCTGATACCAAGGCGTCTCTGCCTGTATCATTTTCCTCTGCTTAGTCAGGCTGAGAGCTCTGACATCTGGGCACCAGAGCCTGCCTCACGAATGTTCATGAGCTAAGCTCAGGGAACCATTCCTGATTTTGGACTCCAGAGGAGACCTCTGTGGAGGTGCGTTGGTGGTGCACTCTTTGCCTGTCTTCTCTGTGGGATCCACAGAATAATCTCATGATCCTATGAGATGGCAGATGTGAGCGAGCCTGAAGAAATGTCAAGCAGAGCCCTAGGAATAAACTGCAAAATCCCTAAGGATCCAAAAGCATCTGCAGGATTCCTCAGGCCTGTCTAGATGTTTTAGGGGTGAGTCTTTTTGAAACTTGCCCCTCTGATATTTTTAGGTAAAACCCACCTGTGTTCCCTGGGATTGCTCTCTCCCAGGTAGGGCTTCCTGCAGAAACATGCAGCCTCAGAAGCTGTCAGGTTCTGTGTTCCTTTGGGAGTGTTGTGAGTGTAGGATTTCTGTGTGTGTGTGTGTGTGTGTGGCATTGTGTGTTTGTGTCTGTGTGCCTGCAAATGGAGTCTGCTTAAAAGAGTGTGGCTAACACACTTCAATCCTCTTTATTTGAGTCCCTCACCTTTTATTTTGGTTGCTTGTCTGTTTGGCTCTGCTTGGGCTCTGGGGCTCCATGTTTTTTTATTTTTCTGTGGATCATGAATACGCAGTGTCTAAATCACCTTCCCCTGCAAAAAAACAAAACAAAACACTCTTCTAGAAAGAAGAGGAACACACCACACCAACACACCAAAAAACAGACATCTCCCAGTGTCTCATTGTCCTACGGTCAACCCAGCAAGGGACACTAGCAGTCCTGTCCTCAGGACCAATTGAATTTACCTTGAATTCGGTTTCTAGCTGAGCAGGTACTTCAGGTTAAAGGGGCACTCCTCAATTGTCTTGGGATTTCATCCTGGGACATAGAGTGTGAGCAGAAATAAGGTCAGATAGGGATGAGAATACAATCTGGTGAGGAGTGGATGGGTCCTGCAATTTCAACTGCAAAAAAAATATGAAGACAGATGACACAGAAGGTGCTTCCAACCCCATCCCCCTATTCTGTTAATTGCACAAGCAGTCCAACCATGACCTGGTGTTCAGGTGGAAGTAATCCAACAGGCAGGGAACATTTTGAGTGCAAATTGGGCCCATCCTGGCAAAGTCTGGATGTATGTTTTTCATACCCATAGCCAAATGGAACTGGAATGGGTTAATACTGGGAGGGGTGTGGCCTCCAAACTGGCCTCTTCTTTTCTTGACTTCCATGTTCCTCATTGGCCTAGGGTTTCCTGGATCTCCACCCAATGACTTCCACACTAAATTTTCCCAATTCTCGAGAACCACCCTCACGGGAATCCATTGCATGAGTGTTTTCTTCTAAACCCTGTGAGGTTTTAATGACTGGGCCTCATTGATAATTTAAACCTGCAAATTGCCTTTACAGCTGCCAACAAGGAAACTCTTGTTCTTTCACTTCTTTCGGAAGGCTGCATGATTCCTGTAGGATGAGAAGTAGGCAGCCGTGTTTGGCTTTTGCCTGGTCATCTAGCTTCTGTTTCTTTTCATCTGCAGGCTCTTCTCATTGCTGAGTGGATCTTTCATTGTGGTCTTGCTGAGTGGGACTGCCTATCGCCACACATCTTTTGGCTGCCAGTAATTTCAGGGAGCAAAACAGACTTTAGGTAGGCTGGCTACACTCCAGGTTGTGGGTGGTGGTCTCATTTTGGGGGCCAAGTTTGTTTGCACTTTGCCAGGGGCTTTAGGGTCTTCTGACAGAAATCTTTTAACATTGCTGTGTCTCCAGCACTAGTCAGCTCATTCTCTCAGGCGAGCTTTGATTTTTCTTTGCTTTCTCTGGGGAGTCCACATCGCCCCTCAACAGCGCTACTGGACAACATTCCAGGCTTGCAATCTCCACAAACGGCCTCTGAGACACTGTCTCAACCTCATTTGCACCCGTGAGAGGTCAGTTCGAGGTGTGAGAACACTTCTTCAACTTGAACCTCCTTTTGTCATGGTTCCAGCCTTTCCCCAAGAGCCCCTGTGAGGGCAGGATGAACGGAGGCAGTGAGATCAAGGGCCCGGCCATCTTCCACAGACACCCGCCTCTGGGGTCTCAGGTGTGATTCCATCACCCGAAGACCCCCAGAAACTCACCAGACTATATTCCAATTCCCATGGGACTTGATTCTTACACACAGCCTCTTTCAGCCATGGAGTGAGAAAAGCAGTTTCCCGCGTCCTCCTCACAGTCTCAAAATGTGTCCTCCTTCAGCGAGACCAGACCACGGAGACGACCCGACGGAGCTCTGAGGTCGACGCTTTTAGTGTCCCACAGTGGGTTACTGCAGTCAGCCTTTTTTCCCATAACAGGCCGGCTCTGGCTGTACCATTTTCCTCTGGTTAGGCAGGCTGACAGCTCTGACAGCCGGGCGCCCAACCTTGCCTCGTGAATGCGCATGCGCTAGTCTCAGGGCACCAGACCTGAACTGTGAGCTCTGGCTGATGTCTCAATGAATGCCACCATTGCCTAGAGACAAGTCCCTGTGGCTTAGCGGAGAAGGAAACATCTGCGGAGGTGGGTCGGCCACAGACTTTCGCTTGTACTGTTTGTGGGACCCTCAGCATAATCTCATGATGCTAGGAGAATGCTGACCTCAGCCAGCTTAAGGAAACTTCAAGCACAGCCTCAGGAATTCACTGCGAAATCTCTAAGTGTCCAAAAGGATCTGCAGGATGCCTCAGGCCTACCTAGACGTTGCAGGGGTGAGTCTTTTTGAAAATCGTCCCACTGTGTTTTCTAGATACAGCCTGCATGAGTTCCCCAAGGTTACTCTCTCCCAGGTGAAGCTTCCTGCAGAACCACGCAGCCTCAGGAGATGCCGGGCTGTGTTTTTCTGTCAGAGTGTTGTAAGTTTTGGATGTCTGCATCTGTGTGTGGCTTTGTGTGTTTCCCTGTGGAAAAGACTGCTAGTGTCTCTCTCTGGGTTGGCTGCAGGACAATGGAACACTGGGAGACCTGTTTTATGGTGTGGTGTGCTCCTCTTCTTTCTAGAAAGGAAAAGTGTTTGTTGTTGTTCTGCTGGCAGAGGTGATTTGGACGCCAGCGGGTCATGGCACACCTACCAATTTGCTGCAGATTCACGATCCACAGAAAAATAAAGAAAAGCCCCGCGGCCCAAGCAGAGCCACACAGACAGGACAACACTAGGTTGGGAGACTAAAAAAAAAAAAAAAAAAAAAAAAGGGTGCTTAAGTGTGTTAGCCTCATTCCTTTAAACAGACTCCACTTACCGGCACATACACACACGCACACACATACACATACACACAGTCAAACATCTAACACTTGCAAGTCTCCCAGAGAAACACACAGTCCAGCAGCTCCCAAGGATGCGTGCTTCTGCAGGAAGCCCCACCTGGGAGAGAGCAAACTCGCGGAACACAGGTGGGCTGTATCTAGAAATCACAGTGGGGCAAGTTTCAAAAAGACCCACCCCTACAAAGTCCACCCAGGCCTGAGGAATTCTGCAGATCCTTTTGGATTCTCAGGATTTCTCAATTTATTCCTGGGGTTGTGCTTGAGGTTTCTTCAGGCTGGCTGACGTCTGCCCTCTCTTAGGATCATGGGACTATCTGGTGAATCCAACAGACAAGACGCAAAAGCCCACTGCCAACGCACCTCCACGGAGGTCTCCTTTGCCGCAAAGCTGCAGGGACTTGTAGTTAGGCAACTGTGACATTCGTTTTGACGCAAGCAAGGGCTCATAATCAGGACTGCTTCCTTGAGTCTAGCGCATGCGCATTCGTGAGGCAGGGAAGGCCTCCAGGATAGCACAACTGTCAGGCTGCCTAAGCACAGGAAAATGTACAGGCAGAGCCGGCCTGGTATTGAAATAAAGGATGCCTGCAAACACCCACTGTGGGGCACCAAAATCCTCGACCTCAGGACCCCTTGGGCCATCTCCGTGGTCGGATCCCACTGGAGAAGGAGGCGTTTTGAGACTGTGAGGTGGTCGCTGGAAACTGCTCTTCTGACTTTATTCTCCAAAGAGGTTGTGTGCAAAAATAGGGTCCCATGGGGATTGGAATATAGTCTGGTGTGTTTCTGAGGGTTCTCTGGGTGATGGAAACATGCCTGAGACCCCAGAGGTTGGTGCCAGTGAAAGATGGTCAGACTCTTGACCTCACTGCTGCCTTTCATCCTGAGCCTCATAGGAGCTCTCTGGGAAAGGCAAATACTACGACAAGGGATGTCCAAGGTGGGGCCGTATTCTCACACCTCAGACTGGCTTCTTGCGGGTGCAGATGAGGTTGAGAGAGTATCTTGGAGACGTGTGTGGTGGTGCCAAGTCTGAAAGTGTGTCCGGTAGTGTTGCTAAGGGGCACTGTGTATTCCCCTTGAAAGCAAAGAAAAATCAAGGCTCAACTGAGAGAAAGAGCTACCTTATGGTGGAATCCAAGCAATGTTCAAAGACTCTTGTCAGAGGACCCAAAAGCTTCCTGCAAAGTGCAAAAAACCTCAGTCCCCACAAGGGGACAACAACCCACAACATGGAGCACAGCCAACCTACCGGAAGTCCCTTTTGCTCTCTGAAATTTCTGGCAGCTTAATGATCTCTGGGAGAGGCAGTTCCAAGCAGCAACAGCCCAGTGAAGGAGCCCCTCCACAATGAAAAGGCCATGCAAATGAAGTGAAAAAGGTGCCAGATTACGAGGCAAAAGCCGACAAAGCTGCCTGCTTTTCATCCTGCAGAAATCATGCAGCCCTCTGTTAGAAGTGGGAGAACAAAAGTGTCCTTGCTGGTGGATGTAATGGAAATTTATGGTTTTAAAATTATCAAATCTGCCCAGTCATTAAAACTGACAGTGTTTAGAAGGAAACTCTCACACAGTGGATTCCCATGAGGATCATTCTCCATGAAATGGGAAAGGTTTACTGTGGAAGTCTTTAAGCCATAACCAGGAAACACTAGGCCTACAAGAAACATAGAAGTCAGGAAAAGAAGAGGCAACTATGGAGGCCACATCTCACCCAGCATCAATCCATTCCATTCCCATTTGGCTCTGGGTATGAAAGCTCTCAAATCGGGAGTGTACCAGGATGGCCTCAATTTGCACTCCAAATATTCCTTGCATGTTGGAATACTCTCACCTGAACACCGGGCCATGGTGTGGACTGCTTGTGCAATTAATGGAATACAGGGATGGAGCTGGAAGCAACTTCTGTGACATCAGTCTTCAATCATTTTGCAGGTGAAGTTGCAGGACCCCATCCACCCTTCACCAATCTGTATCTTCACCCCTTTCTGAACTTATTGTGTCTCACACTCTATGTCCCAGAATGAAATCCGAAGATGATGGAGAAGTGTCCCCTCATGATGTGAAACACCTGATCTCCTGGGAACCGAATTCGAGTTAAATTCAAGGGGCACTGCAGACAGGACTGTTAGTGTTTCTCCCTGGGTGGGCCACAGGACAATGAAACACTGGGAGATGTCTGTTTTTTCATGTGGTGGGCTCCTCTTCTTTCTAGAAGAGTGGTTTTATTATGCAGGGGGATGCAATTTGAAAGCTGGTGGGATTCAGCCTGGCTCCCAATTCACTGCAGATTCAGATCCACAGAAAAATAAAGAACATGGAGCCCTGCAGTCCAAGCAGAGCCACACAGACTGGCAACCAAAAGGTTTGGAGACTCACAAAAAGAAGAAGAAGAAAAGAAGAAGAAGAAGAAGAAGAAGAAGAAGAAGAAGAAGAAGAAGAAGAAGAAGAAGAAGAAGAAGAAGCAGAAGCAGTGCTGAAGTGCATTAGCCATATTCCTTTAAGCAGGCTCCACTTACAGGCAAACACACCCACACACATAAGCACTCACAAACACATAATGCCACACACACACACACACACACACACGCAGACATCCAACACTCAAAATAATTCCAGAGAAATTCACAACCTGGCAGCTGCTGAGGCTGTGAGGTCTGCAGGAAGCCATACCAGGGAGAGAACAACCCCAGGGAACACAGGTGTGCTGTACCTAGAAATCATAGTGGAGCAAGTTTCAAAAACACTCACCCCTACAAAGACTAGGCAGGCCTGAGGAATCCCGCAGATAATTTTGGATCCTTATGGATTTCATGGTTTATTCCTAAGACTGTGCTTGATGTTTTTTCAGGCTGCTTCATGCCTGCCCTCTCCTAGGATTATGGGAATATCCCACGTATCCCACAGAGAAGACAGGTGAGAGTCCACCGCCGACTCACCGCCACGGAGGTCTCCTTCTCTGTCAAGCTTCAGAGGCTTGTCCCTAGGCAGCAGTGACATTTGTTTTGATGCTAGCCAGAGCTCACAATCAGGCCTGGTGCCCTAAGACTGGCACATGCATATTCGTGAGTCAGGCTCTGGTGCCAGGCTCTCAGAGCTATAAGCCTGCCTCAGCAGTGGAAAATGGTACAGGCAGAATGAGCCTGGTATTGTAAAAATGGCTCCCTGTCAAAACCCACTGCAAGATGCTAAAAGTCTTGAACTCAGGGACCCTTCATGCCATCTCCATGGTTGGGTCCTACTGGAGAGAAGGCATTTCTACAGTGTGATGTGGTCACTGGAAACTGCACTTCTGACTCCATTCTTGAAAGAGGCTGTGTGCAAGAATCAGGTCCATGGGGATTGGAATATATTCTGTTGTGTTGTTGTGGGTTCTCTGAGTAACAGAATCATACCTGAGACCCCAGAGGCAGGTGTCAGTGACAGATGGCTGGGCTCTTGCCCTCACTGCCTCCCTTCATCCTAAGCCTTGCAGGGGCTCTCTGGGAAAGGCAGGAATCACGACAAAGGGAAGTCCAAGGTGAAGCAGTGTTCTCATTCCTCAGACTGGCCTCTCATAGGTGCAGATGAGGTGGAGACAGTCTATCAGAGGCTGTCTGTGGTGATGGCAAGCCTGGAAATGGTGTCCAGTAGTGTCACTGTGTGTCACTGTGGATTCCCCAAGAAAGCAAAGAAAAATAGAGGCTCACCTGAGAGAACGAGATGCCTTGTGCTGGAGTCCACACATTGTTCAATGACGCCTGTCAGAAGCCTCCTGCAAAGGGCAAACAACCTCAGCCCCCACTATGAGACAATGGTCCACAACCTGGAGTGCAGCCAGCCTACCCCAAGTCCCTTTTGCTCCCTGAAATCCCTGGCAGCCAAAAGATCTGGGGTGAGAGGCAATGCAATGCAGCAACAACCCAATGAAAGAGCCCCTCCACAATGAGAAAGGACTTGAAGATGAATTGAAACAGAGGCTAGATTACCAGGCAACACCAGACACAGTGGCCTGCTTCTCATCATACAGGAATCTTGCAGCCCTCTGAAAAAAGTGGGAGAATAGGAGTTTCCTTGTTTGTGGCTCTAACTGACATTTACAATTTTAAAAGTATCAAAGCTGGCCAGTCATTAAAACGTGACAGTGTTTAGAAGGAAACACTCACACAATGGATTCAAATGAGGGTCATCCTCCATGAATTGGGAAGCCTCTATTGTGGTAGACATTTAGACAGACCCAGGAAAACCTAGGCCAGTGGGGGAAACGGAAGTCAGGAGAAGAGGAGGCAAGTGTGAAGGCCACATCCCACCCAGCATCAATCCATCCCATACCCTTTTAGTTCTGGCTATGACAGCCCTGAAATCAGGAGTTTGCCAGGATGGCCAAGTATGCACTCCAAATGTTCCCTGCATGCAGAAGTACTCCCAGGCCATGACGTGGATGGCTTGTGCAATTAAGCAAATGTGGGGATGCTGTTGGAAGCATGCTCTGTGCCATCAGATCTTCACTGTTTTTGCAGGTGAAGGTGCAGGTCTGCATCCAAACCTCACCAGATTATATCCTCACCCCATCTGACCTTATTGCTGCTCACACTGTTTGTCCCAGAATAAAATCCCAAGATGATAGTGGAGTGCACCCTCACAACATGAAGCACCTGCTCTACTGCGAACCAAATTCCTGGTAAATTCAAGGGGCCCTGCCATCAGGACTGCTAGTGTCTCTTCCTGGGTTGGCCATGGGACAATGAAAGACTGGGCAATGTTGCTTCTTGGGTGAGGTGTGCTCCTCTTCTTTTGAGAAGAGTGACTTTTTTTTTGCAGGTGGGGGAGATTTGGACCATAGCAGGTCACAGCCAGCCTCCCAAATCACTGCAGATTCTTGATCCACAGAAAAATAAAGAATACAGAGCCCCACAGCCCAGGCAGAACCACAGAAACAAGCTACCAAAAGGTTGAGAGACAAAAAAAAGCACTGCAGTGTGTTAGCCTAATTTATTTAATTAGACTCCATTTAAAACACACACACACACATCACACAAAGCCACACACACGTGCAGACATCCAAACTTACAACACTCTCACAGAAACTACAGGCCTACAGGTTCTGAGGCTGGGTGGTTCTGCAGGAATCCCAACCTGGGAGAGAACAACACCAAGTAACACAGGAGGGCTGTACCAAGAAATCATACAGGGCAAATTTCAAAAAGATTCACCCGTACAACATCTAGGCAGGTCTGAGGCATCCTGCAGATTATTTTGGATCCTTAGGGATTTTGCAGATTATTCCTGGGGCTCTGTTTGACCTTTCTTCATGATGTCTCACATATGCTCTCTCCAAGGATAATGGGACTATCCTGTGGATCCCACAGAGAAGACAGGTGAAAGTTCACTGCCGACTCACATACACAGAGATCGCCTTCTCCACCAAGCCTCAGGGACTTGTTGCTAGGCAATGCTGTCATTCATTGTGATGCTTGCCAGAGCTCACAGCTCTGGCCTGGTGCCAGGAGACTAGTGCATTTGCATTCTTGTCACAGGCTCAGCAGCCCAGCTGTCAGCATGCCTAAGCAGAGAAAAATGGTACAGGCAGAGCTGACCTGGTGTTGGGAAAATGGCTGTCTGAGATAATCCACTGAGAGACCCTGAAAGTCTCAACCATAGGTTTTCTTCAGGCCATCTTGTTGGTCAGGTTTCACTTGAAGGAGGAGGCATTTCAAGACTGTGAACTGGTCACTGGAAACTGCACTTCTGACTTCATCCCTGAAAGAGTGCAGAAATCCGGTCCCATGGTGATTGGAATATAGTCTGGTGAGTTGTTGAGGGGTCTCTGGTTCATGGAATCATACCTGAGACCCCAGAGGCAGGTGTCAACAAAAGATGGCTGTGCCCTGGACGTCACTGCCTGACTTCATCCTGGGCCTCCAGGTGCTCTCTGGGAAAGGCAGGAACCATGACAAAGGCAAGTCCACGGTGGAGCAGTGTTCTCACACCTCCAACTGGCCTCTCATGGGTGCAGATGAGGTTGAGACAGTGTCTCAGAGGCCATTTGTGGCAATTGTAAGCCTGAAAAGGGTGTGCAGTAATGCTGTTTAGGGGCAATGTGTATCTTCCATGAAAGCGAAGGAAAATCAAGGCTTGGGTGAGAGAAACAACTGACTTGTGCTGAAGTCCAAGCAATACTGAAAGATTTCTTTCAGAGGACCCAAAAGCCACCTGCAAAGTGCAAACAACCTCAGTATCCAAAATGAGACCACAATCCACAACCTGGAGTGCAGCCAGCTTACCTGAAGTCTCCTTTGCTCCCTGAAGTCCCTGGCAGCTAAAAGATCTGTGGCGAGAGGCAGTCCCATACAGCAACAGCCCAATGAAACTCCCACTCCACAATGAGCAGTGGCATGCAGGTACAATAAAACAGAGCCTAGATTACCAGGCAAATGCCAGACATGGCTGCCTCCTTTTCATCCTACAGGAATCATGCAGCCCTCTGATAGAAGTGGGAGAACAAGAGTTTTCCTGTTGGTGGCTGTAATGGGAATTTACAGTTTTAAAATATCACAGCTGTCCAGTCATTAAAGCGTGACAATGTTTAGAAGGAAACATTCACACAATGGATTCTCATTAGGGTCATCCTTGGTGAACTGGGATACGTTTAGTGTGGAAGACATTGAGCCAGGCCTAGGCTCCCAGTATGAAAGCCCTCAAATTGGGAGTTTGCCAGGATGGCCCCAGTTTGCACTCCAAATATTCCCTGCATGTTGGAGTACTCCCACCTGAACACCAGGCCATGGTGTGGACTGCCTGTGCAGTTAAGAGAATGTGGGGATGCAGTTGGAAGTACTTCTGTGTAATCTGCCTTTACTTTTTCTCAGATTGCATGCACACCCCTAACCGACCTTACTGTTGCTCACACTGTGTCCCAGAATGAAATCTCAAGATGATAGAGGAGTGCCCCCTGATGACGTGAAGCTCCTACTCAGCTGAGAACTGAATTTGATGTAAACTCAATGGGCCCTGAGGATAGGAATGTTAGTATCCATCCCTGGGTTTGCCACAGGACAATGAAACACTAGATGTCTGTTCATGGGTGTGGTGTGCTCCTCTTCTTTCTGGAAAAGTGGCTTCTGTTGCAGGGGAAGGTGATTTGGACCCTGGCAGGTCTCAGTCAATCTCCCAATTCACTATAAATTCATGATCCACAGAAGAACAAAAAACACAAGGCTCTACAGCCCAAGGAGAGCCACAGAGACAACCCACCAAAAGTTTGGGAGAATCAAAAAAATGAAGGGCTGAAGTGCTTTAGGCACATTTTTTTAAAGCAGACTCCACTTACAGGCATACACATACAGACACACACAAACACACACACACAAAACACACACACACACAGCCACTCGCACAGGCAGATATCCAACAATTACAACACTACCACAGAAACGCACAGCCCGGTAGGTTCTGAGGCTGCCTGGTTCTGCAGACAGCCCCACCTCGGAGACAGCAACTTCGAGGAATACAGGTGGGCTGTACTTAGAAATAACAGTTGGGCAAGTTTCAAAAAGACTCACCCCTACAACGTGTAGGCAGGCCTGAGGCGTCCTGCAGATCCTTTTGGATTCTTAGGGATTTCGTGATTTACTCTTGGGGCTCTCCTTGAGGTTTCTTCAGGCTGGCTCATGTCTGCCTTCTCTTAGGATCATGGGACTATCCCGTGGGTCCTACAGAGAAGACAGGCGAGAGACCACCGCTATCGCACCCCCACGGAGGTCTCCTTCTCGGCCAAGCCACAGGGACTTGCGGCTAGGGAAAGGAGGCATTTATTGTGACGTTAACCAGAGCTCACAGCTCAGGCCCTGTGCCCTAAGACTAGCGCATGTGCATTCGCGATGGAGGCTCCCGCGCAAGGCTTTCAGAACTGTCAGCCTGTCTATGCAGAGGAAAATGACAGGCAGAGCCTGACTGATATTGGGGAAAAGGCTGTCTGCGAAAACCCACTGAGAGACCCTGAAAGTCTCAAATTTAGGGCCCCTTCGTGTCATCTCCATGGTCCGGTCGCGCTGGAGGTCGAGCCGTTTCGCCACTCTGAGGTCATGGCTGAGAAATGCTCTTCTGACTCCATTATTGAAAGAGGTTGTGTGCAAGAATTGGGTCCATGGGGATTGGAATATAGTCTGGTGTATTGTTGAGGGTTCTTTGGGTGATAGAATCATACCTGAGACCCCAGAGGCGGGCGTCATCAAAATATGGCCAGGCTCTTGACCTCACTGCCTCCGTTCATCCTGGGTCGCACAGGGGCTCTCCGGGAAAGGCAGGAACCACGACAAAGGCAAGGCCAAGGTGAAGCAGTATTCTCAAACCTCAGACTGGCATCTCATGGGTGCAGATGAGGTTGAGAAGGTGTCTCAGAGGCCGTCTGTGGTGACGGCAAGCCTGAAAAGGGTGTCCAGTGGTGCTGTTGAGGGTCACTGAGGATTTTCTATGAAAGCAAAGAGAAATTAAGGCTTGCCCAAGAGAATGATCTGCCTTGGGCTGGAGTCCAAGCAATGTTCAATGATTCCTGTCAGAGGACCCAATAGCCTCCTGCAAAGTGCAAATAACCTCAGCACCCACAGTGAGAGAATGACCCACAACCTGAAGTGCAGCCAGCCTACCCAAATTCCCTTTTGCTCTCTGCAATCCCTGTCAGCTAAATAATCTATGATAAGAGGCAGTCCCACCGAGCAACAGCCCAAAGAAAGAACACTTCCACAATGAGAAGGCCATGCAGATGAAATAAAACAGGGGCTGGCTAGATTACCAGGCAAAAGCAAGACGCGGGTGCCTGCCTCTCATCCTACAGGAATCATGCAGCCATTTGATAGAAGTGAGAAAACAGGAGTTTCCTTGTTTGCGGCTGTAGTGAGAATTTATGGTTTTAAAAGTGTCAAAGCAGCCCAGTCATTAAAATGTGACAGTGTTAAGAAGAAAACACTCACACAATGGATTTCCATGAGGCTCATTGTCTGTGAAGTGGGAAATGTTTAGTGTGGAAGTTTTTGAGCCAGAACCAGGAAACCCTAGGCTAGTGAGGAGCACGGAAGTAAGGAAAAGAAGAGGCAAGTCTGGAGGCCACATCCCACCCAGCATCAATGCATTCCACTCCCATTTGGCTCTGGACATGAAAGCCCTCAAATAGGGTATTTGCCAGGATGGCCTCAATTTGCACTCCAAATGTTGCTTGCACATTGGAGCACTCCCACCTGAATACCGAACCCTGATGCTGACTGCTTGTGCAATTAAGGGAATGCAGGGATGGAGTTGGAAGCACCTTCTGTGTCATCTGTCTTCATTTCTTTGCAGGTGAAGTTGCAGGACTGTATCCACCCCTCACCAGGTTGTATCCTCACCTGTATGTTAATGTATTGCTGCTCACACTCTATGTCCCAGGATGAAATCCCAAGATGATGGAGGACTGCCCCCTCAAGATGTGAAGCACCTGATCATCTGGGAACTGAATTCGAGGTAAATTCAAGGGACTCTGCAGACATCCAACACTCACAACACTCCCATGGAAACACACTGCCCGGCAGCTCATGAGGCTGTGTGGTTCTTCAGGAAGCCCTAAACTACTCCAGATTTCAATCTGTCTGCTCCATTGATCTTGCTTTTGTCAAGGTCTTCAGTGACTTCCACATTTCTAATTTTCCTAGGGAAAACAATGGGGAGAATTTTATAAAACACACATAGAAATAAAGCAAATTGTATTTGACTGGTTACAATTATACAGTTGTCTCATTTGATCTATCCCATTGGAAAATCTTAATTATGTAAGTTCCTTAACTGCTTCTGATTGGTTGATATACATTCTGTTTTTCTGTGATATAAACATTAGAAGAAGTAGCTCAAGTTAGTTTTGCTTATGTTTGCAAATCAAGCAAGATTGAAGTTACTTATGAGGCCTAACTTTGTTTTTCATCTAAGAGATTCTTCAGGCCCAGTCTCTATTTTAATTTGTTTCAGCATCAGTTGACCTGTTGTCCTCGATGTGTTTATTTTGTTTGTTTTGATTTTTACCTTTTTATTTTAATATAAAACTCTGATATGGAAAACACACAACACAAGTGTATGGTTTTATTTCTGCCCCACAGATATAAAGCAACAGAATATTGCCAACCAAACTAGTGTTCCAATGCAGATGTCTTGTCCAAATCACCATTCCCTTTAGGACTTTTCACAATACTGAGACATTTGTCTGTGTTATTAGGAAGCCACTCAGTGGCCAATGAAGAAATGAAAACCAAAGACAGTTAGACTAAGAAGAAATACATAATGAATCTAGGTCTCGAAGAAGGCAGGAGTGGAAAGAATCAGGTAAATTCTACATCATTGACAAGGTTTAGTCTCAGAAAAAAGAAATTTCTCTTACTGCAATTAAGAGAAAAGAGATGACAAGACAATTTCGTTCAAACTGTCATTTAACAAACATTTATTAAGCTCCTATTAACTGGCAGTAGTGTAGAAAGCACTAGAGAAAGATTTTAATGGGAAAATAAACTTTACTTGGGCTCTCCTGCTTGATGGACTTAATCACTTTGAAAAAGGAGGAGATGAGGTTGTGGTTCTCAGTAAAAGCTGTTTAGGGAATTCTAGATTTGGACATTTGAAGAGTGAGAACACAATTTCAAAAAGCTACAGTAGAGAAAGCCCTACAGAATCAATATATTTTCTGCACAGGACTCTGGATAGAGGCAAGCCTAGCATTTTGTTTTAAAAACTAACCTTGGAAGTCTTATATCGGACATCACAGTGAATCCAGTTGATTCTTATTTTTAAAATTGCACCTGCCATTGGAGTGATGCCAAAACACACATACCAAATTAAAGCACAAACACCAATAAAACATAACAGGAGCAGAATGCTGCAAACTCAATTGCTTATCAAAAAACTATTAGCTTTAAAATGTTAGCATGTCAGGAAACAATTTCCTTCTACTAACATCAGCTTTGAAGATCAGCTAATCAGAAATACATAGAATTAGAACAGGCAGTGAATTCAATAAAGTAGATCTTGCAGTAAAATAAACTTTGCTCCAGGCCCATGCTGTTGGGATTAGAAAGGCATCATCAGGCACATGTCTGCAGATCAGAGGTCTCAGCCAGTGATAATTCTGGTATTTACAGTCCACCTATTATAACTTAAGTCATCTTTTTAAATATCTTATTTGTTATAATATTTAATTTTCTCTTTAAGAGTGCTGAGCACTTTAGAAATAAACTAGGATGCCAGAACACTTTAGAAATAAACATATCTGAATAAGCTAGCCAGTGGGACTTCTTTTGTGTTTTCATTTCTTTCAGCAGGATTTTTTTTTCTTTAAGTACTTTCCTTCTGTTCTCATAAGTTAATCTGCATTTGTGATTTTGGAATTTTGCAGAGTGGAATGTGATTGCTGAAGTCTTAATCAACATTCAGGCTGACAGAACAGTTGAACAAGCTATTATGTTTTGTGCAGAGAGATAGATTTATTGTAAATGCTCTGGGCTCTCTGAAAAGTTGGGAGAATAGGACTTTGAAACTAATGAGGGTGTCAAAGTTTGGTTTTAGATTCCTGTATAATTGAGAGAACTGCAAAGATGACTTGGGGAAGAGTTATTTATAATATCATTGAATGGAAGTTAAAAAGGACAGTATCTTACTTTAAATATGATATGTTTTGTAATTATTAACTGAATCATAGAATTTGAATTGAATGAGATTTCATAAGGCAATCAGTCTAGTGATTTCCCAATACTGATTTCCAGACAGACATAAGACTGGGATAATATTTTCACTAATTCATAGCAAAATTAAAAAAATAAGATAACAATATAGACAGGTATTCAATGAAGCTAGGTTTATTTGATTTTAATCTTAATATTAAATTCTTTTTATTTTTAGTCCTAAAATACTCTTTCTTCTTTGAGATGACAGATGTATATGGTGAGATGTATAAAGTGCTCTTGGTTAGATTAAATGAAACAATCATTGTTCTTTTGGAAATTGGAGTAGGGCTGATATGAAGCTAGACTAGGAAGCAGGCAGCATTTGGTTTGAAGACCAAGATATTGTTGTGCCTGAGCTCTTTTCTTTTTCTATGGTACTCAATATCCTCATTTTTCTATGCAGTTTACAATGTCATTTTGTTCCCTACTCCGTTCTCTCCTAAATAGAAACCAGCTTTGAAAAAGTATCAGCTTTTAGCCATTTATCCAACTCAAAGGCAAACTGAGAGTGAACTGTAGGTGCTAGAAACCACAATCCACTGCTCTCAATTTTATTTTCTCATGTACGTTAATCTCTCCCTCTCTACCAGCTCAGTATACATATACAACTGTGATCTAAATTCTTATATTGCTTTCATAAATTAGAATTTTTCCCATTGTTTATCCCCCTGCCACCTACCCCTCATTTCTTTTCTCCACTAAACACACAGTACCCACTTTCCTCATTTCTTCCCTCTCACTATTCAGTTCAGTTCAATTTGGTTTTGTTCTCATTTCACTGGAACTGCTTTTATCAAGAACAGCATCACCATTTGTACTATTAAAACTGCTGGTTACTTTACGATGTTCCTCTTACTCCAATTCTCGACATTATTCTGCACATTAGCAACTCTCTGTTCTTCAAACACAGAACTATGCCAAAATTGTCCTATTTTAGAGCCTTGGCAGCTGTTTTTTTTTTCTGCTTTTCAAATGGTTGATCTTTCTGATATATCAAATAAGACTTCCTTGGAGAAATCTTCACTTAGTACCCAAAACACAGTAGTTCTGTGTATTACACCAACCATCACTACTCTCTGTTACTCTCTTTCAGCATCCCCAAATTTCCTTCACATCATTTACAAGTGCTTGTGTCTTTTATTTTTTAACTGTCTCTCCCTGTACATCAAGGTTTATGAAGTCAGGGACCATTAATCCCATATTCATTGTTATACCTCCAGAACCCAGCACAGTGGTTGTTTCATAGTAGTTTTTAAATAAAGATTTGTTGAATAATTTGATGGATAGATGAATGCCAAGAATCCCACAATATTTATTTTTTACTAGCCTCAACTTAAAAACTCATGCTAAGACTTTTATACTTTACCTTTGCAATGATTCTCACATCTTTCTCTTTCTTCTAGTCCTTGCTTCCACTTTCCTTGCCCAGGCCACCATCATCATTAGTTTAACCATTTAATAAAACTCATAACTCACCTCCTGTCTTCTTTTGCTGATCTTCATTTTGTCTTATAACCTTCCTGAAACTTTGATCTTATTTTCCTATGGAAAAGGAAACAAAATAAAAAAAAAACTCCCTTTTGTGCAGACAGTTTCTTCTAAACTTTCTATCCTGGCATTTATGGTCCTTCAAGACCTGGCTTTAGCTGATACCAGCTGTAAGTAATCATAATATCCCATGAATTTGCCTAGCTATTTTTTTTGTGTGTACTTCTCTTTTGAAATTTTGTGACTCAATCTTGTGTTATTACACCATTTAATAGAATGAGAACATGTTGAGGACATATAACATGGTATGTTTTTCTAATCTCAGCACTTAACACAGTTTTTGATACACACAAGCTCTATACATATTTACTGAATAAATCATTGTGTGACCCTCTTCTTGAAGTTCTATGTTCAGTAACAAAGAGAATATAGAATATAAAAACGATTAATTGCAAACTCTATATAGTGTTTGGGTTTAACTAAAACATTGATTTCTGTACATTTTGTTTAAGGCAATGGATATAACTTATTCTCTGTGCTAATATTAAAGATTGTTGTGCATCTGATGCCTGAAGTTTCCTGAGCCAAAAGAGGAAAAATCTTCTCCTTAGAAATTCTTCAACTGAGAGGCCATCCAATCAATTAGAAGACCCTCAGCAAAAAACCTGTTGACGTATGTGGCCTTTTCCACAGAAAGATCTGCAAGATATGAAGAGAACAATAGCCTCAGGCAGTACACTCAGCAGATCAGACTGTAAAATGTGAAAAAACCCACTCTGAACATTTCTAGCATAGGCTGGCTCCCTGCAGGTCCTGATATTGACCCTGAAGCATGCTGCTTAGACTTCCATTGCAGATGAAATAAGTGGCCAAACATGTATGTATGTGTATGTATGCGTGTATTTTTATACACACACACACACACACACACACACACACACACACACACACACACACATATATATACATATGAGACAGAGCCTCCCTTTGTTTCCCAGACTGGACTGGATTTCAGCAGCTCAATCTCTGTGCACTGGAGCCTCAACCTCCTGAGCTCAACTGATCCTCCTGAGAAATTCTCTAGCCTTATCTTCCTGAGTAACTGAGACCACAGGCACACACCACCAGGCCTGGATAATATTTTGTATTTTTTTGTAGAGACAGGGTTTCACCATAGTTTCAAGCTGGTCTGGAACACCTCACTTCAAGTGATCCACCCACCTCAGCCTTGAAAAATGATGGGATTACAGGTGTGAGCCACTGCACCCTACCACACATATTTCTAAATATTTTAAAATATTAATTTTGGCTGAGTGTGGTGTCTCACATTTGTCATTCCAGCCAAGGTGGGTGGATCATGAAGTCTGGATTTCCAGACCAGCCTGGTCAGTGCAGTGAAACCCTGTCTCTACTGAAAAATACAGAAATTAGCTAGGCAGGATGGTGGGTGTCTGTAATCTGAGCTACTAGGGAGGCTGAGGCAGGATAATTGCTTGAACCTGGGAGACAGAGGTTGCAGTGAGCCGAGACTGTGCCAATGCATGCCAGCCTTGGTGACAGAGCTAGACTCCATTTCAAAAAAAAATTAATTTTTACTTGTATCATGCTGCATGAGAACAGTGCAACATAATTAAGGGCAGATGAATAGATAGGAACTTACTTTCATGGATTATTGTTCTTAACCTAGTAGTTTTCAATTTTGAATGCATATTAATGTTACCTGTCAAGCTTTCAAAAGTTCAGATGTCCAGGATCCATTGATCGCCATACATTCTGATTTAATTGGTCTGGGATAGATCCCAGATGTGGTATGCCTTTTGTAAACTCCCCCAGTAAATCTAAGCTTTTTCTATGATTGAGAAGCATTTATACTCATTGAAGGCTGCCATTCTGCTGTAAGTTACTAAGGAATCAAATAATTGATGTAGTTGAGGGGCTTTTTGTTTCATTCTAACATTGATTTTTCTTTTATGAAGCTGTAAGCTTGAGGTTTGAGCACTCCACATTCAACATCTACAGTGAATGCTAGTGAAACCTTACAGTCAGAACGTTCAATAGTATTCCACTAGGTACTAGCTGTTCCAGTTGTATTTGTTAACAGTTAGAAGATGGTGGACATGATGTCCATAATTTTAATCAATCATGGTCTTGTCTCTGAGTAAACAAAGTGCATGACTGATATTTGTGATACTTCATGCTGTATCCCAGGCTATCTTCTTATCTTCTATTTTTTCTTTTTCTTTTTGAGGTGGAGTTTCACTCTTGTTGCCCAGGCTGTAGTGCAATGGCGTGTTGTCATCTCACTGCAACTTCCGCCTCCCAGGTTCAAACAATTCTCCTGTCTCAGCCTCCTGAGTAGCTGGGGTTTCAGGCACCTGCCACCATGCCTGGCTACTTTTTCTGTTTTTAGTAGTGAGGGGGTTTTGCCATTTGGGCCAGGTATATCTGGAACTTCTGACCTCAGGTGATCCACCTGCCTGGGCCTCCCAAAGTGTAGTATTACAGGTGTGAGCCACAGGGCCCAGCCTTCTATTTTCATCTTATACTATGACTGGTTAATCTTCCAGCTTATGCACCTTGAATTATGTTTTAGTCACGTTGATTCCAATAATGCACAAGCTTTTGTGTCTCCAGGTGCTTGCACATGCTGTTTCCTCTGTTTGGACTCCCCTTCCCTTCTTGTCTGCCTAAAACATTCCTACTGACTCTCCTATATCAAGAGCTCTTGATGATGCACATTCTGTATTAGTAAGTAAAATATATGTGTATTTTTGTTATGTAAATTTTTATTGAAAGAATCATCATAAATTTCGTTACATCCTTAAAAAGGGTCTGTGACCCCATAAATATTAAGATTCATTTGTTTCTGCCTTTAGTCAAATGTGACACAATGAAAGGATACTCTGAGACCTCGTTGTTTTCAACTGCCCAAAACAAGTTATCTGTCACAGATATTCTGTCCCCTTTCTCAGTTTTTATGGCACTTTACATATCCCTCCTTTTTTTCTTTTTTCTTTTTTTTTTTTTTGAGATGGAATCTCACTGTGTCACCCAGGCTGTAGTACAGTGGCGTGATCTTGGCTCACTGCAACCTCTGCCTCCCAGATTCAAGTGATTCTCCTGCCTCAGCCTCCCAAGTAGCTGGGACTACAAGCATGTGACACCACACCTGGCTAACTTTTTGTATTTTTACAACAGACAGGGTTTTACTGTGTTAGCCAGGATGGCCTTGATCTCCTAATTGCATGATACCCCCACCTTGTCCTCCCAAAGTTCAGGGATTACAGTTGTGAACCACCATGTCCATCGTACATATCTCTCTTTGTACATCATTTTTATTTGTCTCCCTTTGGACTGAAGGCAGAAACAAGGTCTTATTCACATTTGATCCCAGAACTTAGCACAAATAGATCATTTTAGCTGGGAGAATGTTGACGCTTAAGTCAACTTGCCTGGAATTTAAAGGTTTTCATATACTAAAGTTCTGAGGATACAGTGCTTTCATCTTCTAACTGTTACTCATACATTTCAATTTCTGACCAGTCATTGCCCTTTTTCAGGTAACAATGTGAATACCAAGAAATACAACATTTCTCCATAATAAAATATGAAAATCTTGAGCTGTGATAGTTTGACACAAACAGAATTAGTGTGGTGCTATCTTCTTCTCCAAGATAATTTCTTCCAATACTTAAATTATATGTGTTATAGAAAGAAAAGAAATAAATAAAACTAAGGGGAATAAATTGTTGGCAAAATAATTTAATAAAAAGTCTCAGAAGTTAATGATGCTCAATTTGTAGATTAAAAGGCTAGCACCTAGAAAAACAGAAGAAAATAGACTCATCTCAAGATATATCAGTGTAAAATTTGAGAACGCTGAAAACAGAGAAAATTGTATGTTTCCAGAGGGGCAAAAATAGGTCAGGTACAAAGGATGAGGAATCAGATGATTTAAAAATTTTCAGCACTGGCCAGGAGTGGTGGTTCACGCCTGTAATCCCAGCACTTTGGGAAGCCAAGGCACACTTTGGGAGGCCAAGATGGGCAAATAACCTGAGGTCAGAAGTTTGAGACCAGCTTGACCAATAAGGAGCAACCCAATCTCTACTAAAAATAAAAAATTAGCTGGGCATGATGGCACCTGCCTGTAATCTCAGCTACTCAGGAGGCTGAGGCAGGAGAATCACTTGAACCCAGGAGGTGGAGGTTGCAGTAAGCTGAGATCATGCAATTGAACTCCAGCCTGGCAACAGGAACAAAACTGTACCTCAAAAAAATTTTTTTCAACACCATCACTATAAACCAGAAGGCAATGGAGTTATGCTTTGAAAATTCTAAAGGAAAATGATTTCTGACATATGTTTCTACTTCCACATAGAAAAAAATTAAACGTACAAGTAGAAAACATACATTTTTTGGACATATGACATCTCTAACATTGTGTCTCCCTGTGAACCTATTCTCAAGATGCTACTACAGACTTTTTCCTACCAAAAGGAAAAAGTAAACTAAGAAAGAGAAAGACATGGAATGCCAAAAATAGGAGACATAACGCAAGAGAATAAATTCTTAAAAGTGTGGTGAAGGAAAATCCTAGGATGAGAAAATTGAGTCAGGCCTAGAGGGCAACCATTCAAGACTGTTGCAGGGAAACAGCCAACAAGGAAGTATTCTTCAAGGTGAGAGCATTTATAGAACAATTGAAGTGAATAAAAGTCTCGATATGAGATTTTAAATTTGTAAAGAATTTTCCATTGAGTTAACACAAATTAAAATAAAATTAAGTTGAAGTTGAACAACAAAATTAATAACATAAATATTTCTCAGCTCCCTATCATTGATTATCATGATAGAAATTTAAAAGTACTTAGAACTTAATGATATTGAAAATATTACAAATGAAATTTGTGAGTAGCAGGAAAAGTGATATTGCAATAGGAGTTTATACACTTAAATGTTTCTACAACTTAAAAATTAATGTACTAGGTGTTTACATAAAGAATTAGAAAAGAAACAACAGAATCAATTCTGAAAAACTAAAGTGCAGGGATGATGATGTAGAGAAAATTAGTAAAACATACAAAGATAATATTTGGTTGTTGGAGAAACATAATAAAAGATGCAAACCTCAGGCAAGTTAAGAAAAAAAAGGGAGAAAGCACAAATAAAACTAAGAATTAAAAAGATACATAACAATAGATACAGTACAGATTAGGAAGCTAATAAGAAAATATGGACTATAAATCATGCTGCTATAAAGACACATGCACACATATGTTTATTGCGGCATTATTCACGATAGCAAAGACTTGGAACCAACCCAAATGTCCAACAATGATAGACTGGATTAAGAAAATGTGGCACATGTACACCATGGAATACTATGCAGCCAGAAAAAATGATGAGTTCATGTCCTTTGCAGGGACATGGATGAAATTGGAAATCATCATTCTCAGTCAACTATCGCAAGAACAAAAAACCAAACACTGCATATTCTCACTCATAGGTGGGAATTGAACAATGAGATCACATGGACACAGGAAGGGGAATATCACACTCTGGGGACTGTTGTGGGGTGGGGGGAGGGGGGAGGGATAGCATTGGGAGATATACCTAATGCTAGATGACAAGTTAGTGGGTGCAGCGCACCAGCATGGCACATGTATACATATGTAACTAACCTGCACAATGTGCACATGTACCCTAAAACTTAAAGTATAATAATAAAAAATAAATAAAAATAAATAAAAACTAAAAATAAATAAATTAATTAAATTTAATAAAATATAACAAAAAAGAAAATATGATTAACACTTTGTGCTACGAATCTGAAAACTTAGATCAATAGATTTTTATAAATATATAGCTAAGAAAAATTGATACAAGAATAAGTATGTAATCTGAATAGTCTCATAAATGTTAAAGGAAATAAAGGATTATTCCTACAGATAAAACACTAGGCCCAGATTTATTTCCCCAGACAGAGCATTTCAACATATGTAAAGAATTGTATAAAATAAAAAAGGGAAAATCCTAAACTTATTCTGTGAGGCAAGCAGAACTTTGATACCAATGCCACATAAATTGAGTATACAAAAAGATATTTTTTAAAAAGTCCATTCTCATTCATGAAATAAATGGTAAAATCCCAAAAGTGGATTCCTTGAGGGTTAGGATGAAATTTGCTACTGCCAGATCGTGCTATTCTGGGGTAGCTCACACACAAATTGATGTTTTGAGTTTGTCTGTAATACCCAAGCAATATGGAACTGGCTTGACAATCTGTGTGATGGCCAGCCTGTGGCCATGACTTCTCAGGGACACAATATTTTTTTCTCTTTTCCTCCTTATTCTGCTCAGCTCCAAGACAACTTTGGCCAAAGTTCCTTGAGCTTGGAAACAGGAATGGGTTTACTTCTGTTTCACCCTTACCATGAAGATACTATCCTATGGGATTCCAGATCCATTTGGAGAGAGTTGGCTATTAAACTCTTTTCATAAGTAGGCCCTGGGCCTTGACTACAGTCTTTCTTGAGATATGAGGCTAAGAGTTCCTTCCTGGCCTGCCAGTTTTTGACATGATTAATGTTCTTTCCATTCAGAATTTTTAATTGTTTGGGAGGTGATATAGTTTCATGTGCCTCCCTTCAAATCACAACTTCAATTGTATGTCCCAGAATTCTCACGTTTTGAGGACGGGACCCAGGGAGAGGTAATTGAATCATGGGGGCTGGTCTTGCTCGAACTATTCTTGTAATAGTGAATAAGACTCACAGGATCCAATGGGTTTATCAGGGGTTTATGCTTTTGCTTTTTCCTTATTCCCTCTTGCCACCACCATGCAAGAAGTGCCTTTATTCCTATGCCATGATTCTGAGGTCTCCCTAGCCATGTGGAACTGTAAGTCCAACTAAACCTCCTTTTCTTCCCAATTTCAGATATGTCCTTATGAACAGCATGAAAATGAACTAATACAGGAGGATTGGTCCAAATAACCTGAGCTTCCAATATAGAATGTGGAAGTTGGTGAAGTTTTTATCATTTCTGTGGCAAATTTTAGTAGTGGGTATTATTTTCCTAATTATTTTTTGTTCTTTTCACCTTTGTTTCTCATAGGGTACTCTCGCTCTGTAGCCCAGGCTGGAGTGCAGTGGCACAATCTTGTCTTACTGAAACCTCAGCCTCCTGGGTTGAAGCAACTCTCCTGCCTCAGTCACCCGAGTAGCTGGGATTACAGGCATGCATCACCATGCCCAGCTAATTTTATATATTTTTAGTAGAGATGGGCTTTCACCGTGTTGGCCAGGCTGGTCTCAAAATCCTGACCTCAGATGATCTGCCCACCTAGGCCTCCTAAAGTGCTGGGAATACAGGCATGAGCCACTGTGCCCAGCTGACTCCAATATTTTTACCTAAATGCTGTTGCCTTATTTTATTTTATTTATTTTATTTTATGAGAAAGGTTCTCACTCTGTCATGCAGTTTGGAGTGCAGTGATGAGATCTGGGCTTACTGCAACTTCTGTCTCCCAGGTTCAGGCAGTTCTCCTGCCTCAGCCTCCTAAGTAACTGGGACTACAGGAAAGTGCCACTAGACCTGGCTAATTTTTGCATTTTTCATAGAGATATGTTTGCCATGTTGCCCAGGCTGGTCTTGAACTCCTGACCACAAGTGACCTGCCCACCTTCGCCTCCCAAAGTGTGGAAATTACAGCCATGAGCCACCACGTCTGGCTTGGAATTGCCATTTTTTGACATAGAAAATCTCTGGAGGTAAAAGTTTGGTTTATGGGAGCACCTGAGCTCAGTTTGGCCCATAAGTTTGGGATACCTATTATTTACTGGCAGTGATGGCATGTTGTTAATGTACAATATGTTCATGCACATAGCATATGTATGTGCTCATCAGATATTTTCAGGTGAAAAATAGTCAGTCCCATAGTTTGAGCCATTATAACAATTTCTACCCAGGGATTTCACAGTCAGATTCCAGTTCTGGGTAACAGTGATTAACATAATGGTTATTAATGAGAAGAGATTTTGAGATGTCCAGCCATGTTTAGATGTCAGTGCCTTGAAGGGATGGGTTTGGCATATTAATAAGAAAGAGGGCATTGGACTGCATACTAAGAAACATAATGAATTGTTTTTCTTGTCCTCTATAACATGAAAGGTCAATTAGAGATATAGAAACAATTGAATATTTCACAGCATGGCTTGACATTTCACTGAACTTTTATCCTTTTAACCATGTACAAAGTTTATTAAATATGCAAAGGTAGGACTGCTACAGTAAGAAAGAGGAGGAGTCAGAGGTCACAATCCACAGCAAGGTGACTGTCTCTTGTGGATGGCGCCCTGAGAGATGAATTCGAGTGAGCATCAAGTTTCAGATTGCCAACAAGGATCAAGGAGAATGAAGCTATCAACAGTCAACATTACTGGATTAATTGAAATAAATATTGACAGAGATTTTGTTGGCTTTCCAGCAAATTGAGTACAGATAAGGTAACCACTTATCAAATTTCACACCTATGAAATTACATAAATTTATATGTACATATGCAAATTCACAGTGTGCAAATATGTGTCTATATCTAAAGATATACAAATCCATTGACCAACAGAAAGTTAGAAATTATTCTCCCATTTTACCATTCCCTTTCCAGGAATTTTGTCACAAGTACAGTTTTTCTATATGTTTGAAGCCTACTCCCTGGAGGCATGAAATATATGGATACAGTAAAGCTATGAGATATCATAGTGTTTCTATCAGAGAAAAAAATAACACTGGTGTTACAAAAGATCCATTGTGAGGAGAAAGTTACACTTCACATTACAACAAATACAGAAGTACGATTTCATCAAAGGCTGAAATCAGTCAATAAAATTTGTATTTAATGCTTTATTTAAAATACTTAATTTCAAAAGTATTACCTAAATAGAATAAGGGTATTGGTAATAAATAATTTTGAAGAATTCCCTTTAATATGTTGATTATTTAACATGTAACTAAAATACTAAAAGTTACTGTACAATGTAGTTTCATGAAGCATTCTTTATGGTTTTCATAAAATTAATAGTCAACGGAGTATTTTGAGACTGAGGAAGTTCCATATATTATTGTATTGCACTTTCACTTTATTAATTGCTTTCATGTTGTAACTGATGGAATTAAAAATATTTATACTTACACATATACAAATGTTGTATTTTTGTTCATGTTTTCTAGTGAGATAAAGTTGCCAATAATTTTATCAATATAGGAAAATTTTTATAAGATCAAAGTTCTTAACTTTCTTTTCTTTTGAAATTTTATATTTCAGTCTAGATATGAGATGGAATTGGCTGTGATCATTCTTTGATTTCACTATGATTACTGAGTTTCTGATACAGTGTTGGGAACTTATAGACTTTAAATCTTGCTTTCTTCTTCTTCATCTCCTATTGGAACTGTATATGTGATTTCTGCAGTAATGGGCATTGTTATCTGACGTATGGTTGCTGAAAGATACAAACAGAAATGGAATTCTTAGTTTCAGTGAATCTTTAGGAACAGACAAGTAAAAGTGAAGGATGATTATTGTATGAATGTTAGTAAACTGTTTATCACAGAGTTACAATAAGGGTGAAAATAAATTTAAAAATACATACCTCATCCAAAACATGAGGTAGTAAAAATAAAAAAATTAATTTGACAGAAAGAACAGTTTAAAAGTTGTGATTATTTCTGGTGAGAGCAAGTAGCTCAGAAACTATGAGGAAGTCCTGCAAAGCTACATGATGGATTTGCAAGTGAGGATGGGGAGCCTGGTTCTGGGGGAGGGTTCCAAGTCCTGGTCAGGTTGAGGTCCTCCTGGGGCTCAGGGATGTCTCAGCGGGAAAGCCGGGAAGGGGAAAATGCATGCTTCACCCCAGCTAGCAGGCCACCTCAACCCACCTAGATGAAATTGTCCATTGACTGTCCTCTTTCTCCTTCTTGGATAGGCAGGTGGAGGAACTCAGCCACCCTGAGTACAAGTGGCAAGAAGAAGTTTGCCTTTCATCACAACATTTACTTCCACAATGAAGTGATCATTAAGGAGTATTGCATTGGAATTCTCAATAAGGAGTGCCTCCCGGCATGGTAGAGGGGATGGTATGTGGGAAGCTAGGCCTGGCATGAGCCTTCCTGACTCCTTCCCCTCCAGGATACAGGGTGACTACCTCCACTACAGTCCGGTTGTTCTAGGGTCATGCAAGTGAAGGCCTCAGTTTCAGGCAGGACACAACCTAAGTGAGCTTCTTCAGCTGGTTGACTGATGGTGATTGACCAGGGTATGGCAGGATTGCTGAAGTGGGGCAGCTGTGGGACATCATAGGTAAGGAGCTGGTCATTCCTTGGCATCAGAGGAATTGGCTTTGAACCAGAACCTAACCTGTCACGACTACTTTGCCCAGTCCCCCAGATCATCAGCCAGGGCCCGTGGCTCAATCTCATGCAGCACTACCCAAGGGAGTTAGGCCCTCAGAGAGGGAACAGAGAAGAGGCCAGGGAAGCAGCCCAGGGCTGGGGGATGAGAGGCCTGTGGGTCCTGGAGCCAGGATACATAGCGAAGCCAAGGCTCAAGGAGGAGACTGAGGTAAGTAAACTCAGGCTATTCATCGCTCAGGGGGAAAGGCCCATCAGGGAACTGTAGCACCCACATTTCAGTATTGGGGAACCCTAAGCTACTTAAGAGGTGTAAGTAACTAAGGTCAATGGGAGAGAAGTCAGGCCCAGGGTGCTCTCACCCTCCACACAAATGCCAACCTGAGGCCCTTCTAGGTCTACATCTTCCCAGAATGGCTCTCCCAGACCTGTCAAATTCTGTGTCAATGACTCCTGACATGCTGTTTCCCCTCTGCCATCCAGACGACACAGGTTTCACAGGGGAAGAAATGTGAAGAGATGGCAAAATGGAAGGGGACCTTCTGTGTGTGTTCAGGAAGGCAATCTGGCTGGACATTAGGACCCACCTAAGTATTAGTGAGGACACCAAATGTCTCTCAGACCTGAGCATGTGCACACAAAAACATATTGTCTAAATGGCATTGACATCAATACTACCTAAGTGATCTACAGATTCTGTACAACCCCTGTAAATGTATCAGTGACCCACTTTTCATAGAAAAACCATCTGAGAATCCTAAATTTGCTATGAAATGGTAGAAGATCCTGAGACCCAGAACAATCCAGTAAAAAGCACAAAGCTGGAGGCTTCATACTACCTAACTTCACAATATGCTACAAAGTTTTATGCACCAAAATAGAACAGCACTGGCCGACAAGCAGAGACATGAGCTAATGAAAAACAATCTGGTCCCAGAACTAAGTCACCGCATTTGCAGCTCATGACCTTATCCCAAAAAAGCAAGAATGCACAATGCAAAATCAGGTATCTGCTATAAACTAGGTTGGGGAAAACCTGAATATCCACATAAAGGATTTTAAGAGTAGATTATGTCTCACAGAACTCCAATGTCAGACAAGAAACGACAAAAATACCAGAAGAAATCGCAAGGAAGAAGCTCCATGACATCGGTGTGGGCAATGGTGGTCTCAAAGTGACTGCAAGAGCACAGTAAACACCTTCAAAAATAGATAATCGGGTTATGTCAAGCTAAGGTGCTTCAGTACACCACAGGAAACTGAAGAGAGGGAAGGGACATCCTACAAGATGGGTGAAATTATTGAATCACCATACATCTGTTAATGGGTGAATATTTACAGCACATAAGGAACTCCAACAACTCAATAGCATGAAAACAAATGAGCTAAGGGTATGAATACTCATTTGTGAAACTAAGACATACAGTTGCCCAGAAGACACAGTAAAAAGCACCCATCATCAGTAATACAACAGGAAAATGCAAATCAAAACCACAATGAGATTTCATCTCACTTCAATCAGAATGCCTACATGAGTATATAATAAAAAACCCAAAGTTTTCACTTACCCTTTTTAATAGCTCTCCCAGGGGGCACATAACTGAGAAGTCATAGTGTAAACCTTCATGATTTTTCTTTAAATATACATTGACATATTCATACAAATATGCATGAATACCTAAAATATATTGCCATGAAAATAAGAACATTTTATGAGATCCAAAATTCTGGAGGACTAAGCAGGGAGAAAAAAGATACATGTGTTCATGAAAGGAGTCAAACTCTGCAAAATATTTAAAGAGATTTTTTCTGAGCCAAATATGGGTGACCAATGACCCATAACACAACCCTTCTCAGAAGATCCTCAGAACATGTGCCCAAGATGGTCTGGGAACAGCCTAGTTTTCTGCATTTTAGGGAGACACGAGATATCAATCAAATACATGTAAGATGTACATTTGTTTGGTCCAGAAAGGTGGGACAACTTGAAGTGAGTGGTGGTGCGGGGCTGGGCTTTCAAGTTATAGGTATATTTAAATACGTTCTGATTGGCAGTTGGTTGAAAGAGTTATTTTCTGTAGACATAGAAACAATGGATAGGAATGACTGGGTTGCAATAAATAATAGGGAGCATAGAGACAAAGTTTATCAAGATGAGGAAGACTCCATGTGGCAGACTTAAAAGAGAATAGGTGGTAAATATTTCTTGTCAAACTTAAGGTCTGTGTTGATGTTAATGATGGTCAACTTTCCCTAAATTTCAAAAAGGTGGAGTGTATAATGAAGCATGTCTATCCTTCTTTCCTCTCAGGACCTGAACCAATTTTAAAAGGCCCTTGGCCAAAAGGAGGGGTCCATTCAGATCCCTGTGGTGGGCAGGTTTGAGGGGAAACTTAAAATTTTATATTTGATTTGTAAGTCTTTCATTTCTGTCTACAAAAATGTACGCTATTAAACAGTTAGCCTAAGAGAAAAAATGGGGATTCTTGAACACAGAAAAATAGAATATTACAGAACCAACAATTTGCCAAACCAAAAACAAAAGCTATAAAATAATCATTCTTCATCAGTTCATTAAATACTATGTAATTGATTCCAGTCTTGCTTGATTTTGTATTAGCAGTTCCATGAGACCATCAGTTTCTCCACTAGAGTTCTGGATATCATTACTCAGTCCCATAGTATAAACATAAAATTATTGAAACTTTGACATCAGATGCTTGTGCCCAGAGGACGCATTACAGTTGTTTCCATCGGTATCAGAGGCAGTGCCTTGTTGGAGACAAACATTCTGATCTCTAGCCAGTGCAGATGCAAAAGGAAAAGCATGATATTGAAATAATAACTACCTGTAAATTAGAAAAGGTGCAAAATGGCCATGGTTAAAAATCTAATGACATTCATTATGTTACAATTAGCAAGAAAATTTGTTTTCTTCTGTGGCAAACAACATTTAAAATAATGACTAGAATTATGACTCAAGATATTATCCTGGGACATATAATAGATAGGTCATTCACAAATTTCCAGGAATTCCATGCAGCTTCCAAAACAAATAACATTTTACCCAAATATATTTACCAAAATATAACCTAGGGAATATTAATCATATTTTCTTATTTGTATATTGTGTATACTGCTCATTTGAAACTGTGCCAAGACCAGCTTAGCTGGGGAGACCCTAACCCGGTGGCACTACAGGAAATAAAGACACACACACAGAAATCTAGAGGTGTGAAGCAGGAAATCAAGGGTCTCACAGCATTCAGAGCTGAGAGCCTCGAACAGAGATTTACCCACATATTTATTAACAGTAAGCCAGTCATTGGCATTGTTTCTATAGATATCAAATTAACTAAAAGTATCCCTTATAGGAAATGAAGGGATGGGCTGAATTAAAGGAATAGGTTGGGCTAGTTAATGGCAGCAGGAGCATATCCTTAAGGCACAGATCAGTCATGTTATTGTTTGTGGCTTAAGAATGCCTTTAAGTGGTTTTCCACCCTCAGCAGGCCAGGTATTCCCTGCCCTCATTTCTGTAAACCCATAACCTTCCAGCATGGGCTTTATGGCCATCATGCAAATGTCACAGTGCTGCAGAGATTTTGTTTATGACCAGTTTGGGGCCAGTTTATGGCCAGATTTGGGGGGCCTGTTCCCAACATGCCCCCTTCTTTGATTTTCAAATTGATAAAAGCAAAGTCAGCTTTGTCATGGTGAGCTACTTCTTGCAGAAGTCAGAATCCACATCTGCAGACTATATACAGAAAAACAACATAGATTAAAAGCACAATCATCATTAAAATCACAGAGCTTCCCAGTGTTTTTATCCATTTTAATGGGTTACTAGCTGCGAATCTGTCTGCAGCTCCTTTAAGCACTCCAGATCCTGGCATTAAGGTCAGGTGTGCCTGGGATGTTTTAAATATTTGTACTTTTAATTTTGCAATATCCAAAAACAAGTTTGTAGAATGTCCTTTTAGATACTATTTTTATGGTTTCCCAAATCTTGATCTTATTAAGAGCTACTAATAGTTTCTGTAAATCCTTATGTTTAGCTTCTACAATGGGCCATGTCATTTGAGGTTGAGGTACCACTATACTACCATGGTTCCAGATAATAGGAACTCTTGCAGTACGTCTTATCATTTCTACCATCTGATCATTTTGTTCAGACAAGCTGAACATAGTGTAGCCATGGCACACAGACTGAGAGGTGCAATTCAAGCTAAACATCTCCTTAGGGGACCAATCAATCATGATTCCATAGGAATCATTGTGCAGCACCTCTGCCTCTTCTGCAAAGCAATCTTCGTAAACAAGTAGGTTCATTATTTTTGGCCACATTCTGTTTTATTTACAAATAGGTTTTTGAAGGTGGTATGCCTCAATTATAGGAGCAGATTTATTATGGTAAATACTGAGATCAGAAAGCATGTGCTACCGTGTCATAGAGTGATTATATTCAGGCATAAGTACCAGCCAGGATTGATAAATATGCCCAATAAGAATAATTGTTCTCTGTCTCAACCCTTGTTGAAGGAATACTCATGGCAGTGGTGATAACTGCTATCATAGCTACCATTAAATTACTTGTTGTGACTGGTTGTCCCGCTTTCCTCAGGTTTTCTTCTGCCATCAGTGACAGCTTCTTGATCTGTCCCCAGGTGGTTGACTGTGTTCAATGGGTGTTGCTCATGACAGTTGGGGTCCTCCTCAGCATCAACCTCAATATGGCTGCAACTGAGGGGTCCTCAGGATCCTCCCAGAGTCTGGTTCATGATAGGGATTCAGGTGTCTTGATGGTGTCCTAATCGGCTGTTGATTTTAGTCTGGAAAAACACAAGCATAACCTCTACCCCAAGTTATTATTTTACCTATTTCCCAACTTCTTATTTTTGGATCTCTCCACCCAATCAGTTGTTCCACTTCTGTCTTTGCAACCAGTTTCTGTAGATGATGTTCAGCTGCTGATAACATCTGGCCTTTGGGCAGGCTCAAAAATTTTAAAGTTAATAATGCTAGATTTTGTTGCATCTGTGGGGTTCCATATTCTCTATTTCCCCCTTTCTGCCTTTGCAACTGCTGTTTTAGGGAAAGATTTATTCTTTCCACTATGGCTAGTCCTTGATAATTGTATGGGATACCAGTAATGTGCTTAATATTCCACATAGAGAAAAATGTAGCTAGGGTTTGGATAGCATAGCCTGGGGCATTATCTGTTTTAGTAGAAGCTGGAATGCCCATCACCACAAAACACTGCAAAAGGTGATGTTTAACACAGGCAGAAGATTCACCTGATTTGCACATAGCCGAGAAAAAGTGAGAAAATGTGTACACACATACATGTACATAAGCTAGTCTCCCAAACGAGGGTGTATGTGTGACATCCATTTGCCAAAGACAGTTAGGTTCCAATCCTCAAGGATTAACTCCTGTAAAAGATAAGGAATGTACCAATTGGCAAGTTGGGCATTGCTGGATAATAGTTTTAGCTTATTTCCAGGTAATGCTGTATCTGTGTTTGAGACCAGAGGCATTAACATGGGTTAAACTGTGAAAGTGTCTAGCATTTGAGACTGGAGGCATTAACATGGGTTAAATTGTGAAAGTGTCTAGCATTAGATATTGCATTAGCAACTAGGTGGTCAGCCTTTTGATTCCCTTCAGTTAAAGGTCCTTTAAGAGGTATATGAGCCCTAATGTGAGTGATGTAAAAAGGGTGTATTCTACTTCTAACTGTTGTTTGCAATTGGGTAAATAAAGTCATCGGTTCTTTATCTGTATGAAATCATAACTAAGCATTTTCAATTAACTGTGTGGAATGAACCATGTATGAAGAATGAGAAATCACATTAATAGGCATTTCAAAAGCAGTAAATATCTCAATTACAGCTATAAGCTCTGCTTTTTGAGCTGAAGTATAGGACATCTGCAAATTTTGCTTTTTGAGCTAGAATAAGAAGCTTTACCATACTAGACCCATCTGTAAAACAATGAAAACACTTTGCAGTATACAGGTTGTTTACCACAGGAATTGTAAATGCAAACCGTTCACAGTCTTGCTCAGCTAAAGGGATAGAAAAGAAACAGTCTTTTCAATCTGGACTATTGAAGGCCAATCTTTTGGAATTATAGCAGGAGAAGGCAATCCTTGCTGTAATGCTCCCATAGGTTGTATAACTGAGTTGATGGGTCTTATGTCAGTTAACATTCTCCATTTACCTGATTTTTTCCTAATTATGAAAACTAGAGAATTCCAAGGGGAAAAAGTTCAAGCTATGTGCCCATTTTCTAATTGTTCAGTAACTAATTTCTCTAAAGCCTCCAGTTTCTCTTTATTTAGCAGCCATTGTTCTATCCAAATTTGCTTGTCTCTTAACCACTTTAAAGGTATAGCTTCTGGAGGCTTAACAATGGCCACCATCAAAAATGGTATCCTAAACTTTAGCGAGAACTTTGCCTTTCCGCTTGAAGCAGTTTTTTCAAAACTTCCGTTTTTTTTTTTTTCTACTCTCTTACCAGGGGCATATCCCATTTCATGCATTGCATGTTGACTTTCAGGGCTATATAATTGTTCTGAAATTAGAACTTGTGGTCCCCATTGTTGTAATAAATCTCTTCCCCATAAATTTATAGGTACAGAAGTTATAATTGGTTGAACAGTCCCAGGTTGTCCACTGGGCCCTTCACAATGTAAAATAGAGCTACTTTGATATACTTCAGGGGCTTTACCAACTCCAATTATGTTAAATTGAGCTGGTTGAATTGGCAGTCCAGACAGCCAGTGCTGTAGAGAAATGACTGAAATGTCCACTACTGTATCTACCAAACCTTTAAATTTCTTTCCCTCAATAGTTATTTCACAGGCAGGATGTTTATCAGCAATTTGATTTACCCAATAAGCTGCTTTGCCTTGTTTATTTGTGCTTCCAAATCCTTCTGTTCATTTAATTTCAAATTTTCCCATTCTCACATATGGCACAATCAGGAGCTGTGTTATACACTCTCCTGGCTCTGCTTTCCAGGGAACAGAAGTAGATATAATAATTTAATTTCCCCATTTATCAGGGGAAATTCAGCCAGATATCAGGCAAAATTCACCCCCAATATTTCACGTAGGTTCTTTTCTGTTTTCCCTAAGTGTCAGCCAGTCTGAGAAATAAAGGGACAAAGTACAAAAGAGAGAAATTTTAAAGCTGGGTGTCCGGGCAGGACATCACATGCTTGCAGGTTCCGTGATGCCCCCTGAGCCATAAAACCAGCAAGTTATTATTAAGGATTTTCAAAAGGGGAGGGAGTGTACAAATAGGGTGTGGGTCACAGAGATCACATGCTTCACAAGGTAATAAGATATCAGAAGGCAAATGGAGGCAGGGTGAGATCACAGGACCACAGGACTGGGGCAAAATTAAAATTGCTCATGAAGTTTCAGGCATGCATTGTCATTGATAACATCTTACCAGGAGGCATGGTTTGAGAGCAGACAACCGGTCTGACCAAAATTTATTAGGCAGGAATTTCCTCATCCTATTAAGCCTGGAAGCACTATGGGAGACTGGGGCTCATTTCTTCCCTACAGCTTTGACCATAAAAGATGGCCACCCCCCAAAGTGGCCATTTTAGAGGCCTACCCTCAGGGATGCATTCTCTTTCTCAGGGATGTTCCTTGCTGAGAAAAAGAATTCAGCGATATTTTTCCCATTTGCTTTTGAAAGAAGAGAAATGTGTTTCTGTTCTGCTGGCTCACCGGTGGTCAGATTTTAAGGTTATCTCTCTTGTTCCCTGAACATTGCTGTTATCCTGTCTCCCAAATTCTCGACCTCTGGAGGCTGAGGTACAAACGGTAACATTTATTGGAAACTCTAGTCCATGAGGAAAGTCTTCATTTCAGAACGTCATTTTTGCTAGGCATTTTTTTTTCATCCAACGAAACTTACCCCCAAGCAGTATTGTTACCTTGTCTGTTCCTCAGGTAGAGATAAAAAGTAGTAATTATACCACACAGAATCACATGATTATGAGAAAAGCTATTATATGAAACACATGATAGAGTAGAACTTACATATTTTACTGTTCATATTTTTTTGTGCTTGTTTTCCATATGCGTGTTTTTTAGCGAAGTGTGTGTTCCACTATTTCTTCATTTTGTAATTGGATTGTTTGTCTTTTATGTTGTTGAGTTATACAATTTCTTTATACATTGTGGATAACACACTGTTGTCACATATATCATGTGTGAATCTTTCTTTCTGTGGTGTGTCTTTTCACTTTCTTGTCAGTGTCTTTTGTTCCACAAAAGTTTTTAATTTGAGGAATTTATTTCTTTATTTGCCTGTGATTTTAGTATCACATCTAAGAAATTACTGCTAAATTCAAGGTTATGAACATTTATCCCTATGTTTTCTTCTAGAGTTTACATTTTTACCTCTGTTTACATATTAAACTTTTTGAACCATTTTGAGTTAATTTTTGAGGCTTCTGAAGCATTTTGAATTAACTTTTCTACATGTTATGAGGATAGAGTACAATTTATTTGTCTGAATTTTAGTAGTCAGTGGTCTAACACCATTTGTTGAATTTAATGGTCTTGGCTACATGTCAAAAATCAATTGACTATAGAGGTATTCTTGGACTCAACATTCAGTTCTATCGATCTATATGTTTGTCCTTATGCTAGTATTATGGTCTTTTTATTACTGTTCCTTTGTAGTAATATTTGAAATTGAGATCCAAGTTGGTTTTTGTTTTCAAGAATATTTTATCTACTCAGAATGCCTTGAAATTTATATGAATGTTATGACTGGCTTGCCCATTTCTGCCAAAAGAATTTTGGTGTTTCATAGGAATCACAGTGAATTTGTAGATTGCTTTGTGTATTATTGCCATCATACAAAATATCACCTTTAATCCAGAAACATGGAGTGTCTTTACATCTATTTAGGGTTTCTGAAATTTATTTCAGCAATATGTTATAATTTTTCATGTCTAAGTCTTGCACCGTGGTTAAATTTAAGCTTAAAATATTATTACCACTGATTTTGTTGTTGTTTGCGGAAGCGTCTCAGTCTCTGGCCCAGGTGGGAGTGTGGTGGGCGGTGTGCTCACCGCAGCTTCAAACTCTTTGGCTCGAGCAATCCTTACACCTTTCCCTCCCAAAGAACTGGAATTACAGGCATAAGCCACCACACCACACCTGGCCTTTTTTTTTTTTTTTCTGTTTTGAATGTTGCCAAGGATGTGTTGCTTTACAGTCAATAAAAATATAGTACTTTGAATTGCCCAAAAGGTATAATGTACAAGAACTCTTAAGTCATATAGTTGACTTGTTGACCATCTGGATACAGTTCAGTTACTTCTTCAAAAATTGTACCTAGTAACATTCCAAAATTATTTTTTTTAAGTTCTTAACTTGTAGCAATAAACAAAATGTCAAGACTAGACATTTTTATTGTATAGTATTATTATTATTATTGAGATGGTATCTTGCTCTGTCACTCAGGCTGGAGTGCAGTGGCATGACCTCGGCTCACCACAACCTCTGTCTCCAAGGTTCAAGCAATTTGCCTGCCTCAGCCTCCCGAGTAGCTGGGATTACAGGGGCCTGCCATCCTGCCTGGCTAATTTTTGTATTTTTAGTAGAGATGAGGTTTCACCATGTTGGCCAGGCTGGTATCGAATTCCTGACCTCAGGTGATCCATCCACCTCGGCCTCCCAAAATGCTGGGATTACATGCCTGAGCCGCTGCTCCAGGCTGACACTTTTAAGGAATACTGAAGTTTATTTAAAAGAAAATAAAAATTTCAAATCTTATTCCTTTTTTTGAGACAGGGTCTCTCTGTTGCCCAGGCTAAAGTGCAGAGGTGCCATCATGGCTCACTGCAACCTCTCACTCCCAGGCTCAGTTAATCCTTCCTCTTTAGCCTCAGTCACTATACCTGGTTGATTTTTTTGTGTGTATTTTTTGTAGAGTTCCCACTTGGCCTCCCAAAGTGCTGGGATTATTGGCATTGATAAAACATTTAATATGTTAGGGTTAGATAAAAATCAACATTTTGGCTAAGGTATGAACATTTTTAAAATGCAGTTATTCATTTATGCCTAATTTTCAGCATTTTTATGTTATCAATTCTCATTTTAAGAGTCATATACAAAGCATAAGGCAAACCCATTTATGAGTTGCATATTTGTTTCACAGTTTGTGAAAATGTCCTTAGTTTGCTCATATTGCAAACACATTTCAACTCTGCTATGCAAATAACAAAAGGCAACCTTATTTACAATTAATTTTATAGTTACATTGCATACAGGGAATGCACTGTCTAGATGAAAAATAGCATCTCAACTACAGGTCTTAAACACTGAAAAGAGCTAACAGCTGGCCGGGCTCAGTGGCTCACACCTGTAATCCCAGCACTTTGGGAGGCCAAGGCGGGGTGGATCATGAGGTCAAGAGATCAAGGCCATCCCGGCTAACATGGGGAAATCCCGTCTCTACTAAAAATGCAAAAAATTAGCCGGGTGTGGTGGCAGTTGCCTGTAGTCCCAGCTATTCGGGAGGCTGAGGCAGGAGAATGGCGTGGACCCAGGAGGCAGAGCTTGTAGTGAGCGGAGATTGTTCCACTGCACTCCAGCCAGGGTGACAAAGTGAGACTCCACCTCAAAAATAAATTGACAGCTTATTATAATTTATTTTATTATATCAATTCATTTTATTTATATACAATCAATTGTATTTACATGCAATCTAGAAAGTTCACAGCCATCAGCAGTTCTAGTGCAGCTTCAGGTAAAATGGGAATTTAGGAATCTCTGTGGAACTGTACATTCAGTGAAATATTTAGGTAAAATATGTGCATACTTTTGGCTGCACTTGTGAAGGGATGTCTCTCAAATTGACCTCAATGCTTTCCTCCTCAGAAAAATGACCTGGATCACTCAAACGGGTTTCATTGTTGCTGAGGTTTGTGCATGTTCTCCTTTTACAACAAATTTATGACTCAGGATATATCTGTTTGATATCATGGCATTAGGGCTTTCACAAGCATTGTAGGTTTTCTCTTCTTCATCCATTATGTTTTTAAGTAATTCTACTTGAATCCTCAGGAACTTGAATAGTTTTTGTTAGCCCCACAGCCACTGCAGCCCAGGACCGAATGTAGCAACACAGCCTCTGCTCCAAGGCCACCTTCCATGCCCATCTACCTGCCCCTGTGGGTTTTAGAGCAGTTGGAGTAATCTAGTCCTGTAAGTTTTAATTTGTTTACAAGATTTCATAATTTATTGTTGGTTCCTTATGATTTTATGTATATAAGATTATGAGATCTATGAGTAGAAAGTTTTACTTTTGTCTTTCACATATGAATATGTTGGTATATATTTGTCTTTTCTAATTGTTCTGGATGGAAGTTCTAAAACAATGTTGAATACAGTGATGAAAGTGGGCATCAGTGCTACATTCCTAATCTTAAAGATTTGGTACACAGCAGCTCAGATGATGATTGTTATGTGCTTCACATAAAGATGTTTTATCATATCAAAGAAATTCAAACCCATTTTTTGGATGTTTGTATTATTAAATTTGTTGACTATATTTAAGTAGTTTCTGTAACAGTTGAGATAAACATGTAGTGTTTTTTCATCATTTAATTTACATAATATATTGAAAAGGGATGGCTTTAGAATGTTGAAAAACCCGTGATTTTCTGAAAAAAGAACTTAGTCATTCAGGTGTGTAATGTCTTCACTATGTACCTAATTCCATGTACTAGTATTTGTTTAAACATTATGATGTCTATAATTATCAGATTTGTTAATATTTAGCTTTTTGTCCCAGTGATATCATATGTTTAATTGGCTACTCAATTGGAATTACAAAGAAGTATTGCTTGGTGTACTCTTATGGGCATTAGGGCTTAGAGGTTAGAGTCATAGAGGATATATTTAAAATTTTTTGAAGGAAGATGGGGTAACATTAAACACGGGATAGAAGTTGGGTGTTAGGGATAGGGGTTTACAATTGCAGAAGAAATGTTAGTGTTAGATTGAGGGTTAGGGCTGGGGTTGGGTTAGGGTCTAGTGTGGTAGGATTAGGGTTAGGGTTAGAATTAGGATTAGGGTCAGGGGTCAAGTTTAGTTTTAAGTTTAGGGCTAGAGTTAGAATCAGGTTTAGATGTTAGGTTAGGTTAGGTTTGGGATCAGGTTATGCTTAGGTTTAGGTTAAAAAACAGGCTTATACTTAGAGGTTACGAGCCAGGGTAGGTAGGGTTAGGTTCTAGGTTAGGGTCATGGCCAGGGTTGTGGTCAGTGTTATGAGTTAGAGTTAAGGTGAGGGTGAGGGTGAGGGTAATAGGGTTAGTGTGTTACTGTTAGGGTTAGGGCTTAGAGTTAGGGTTAGAATAAGGATAAGAATTCAGTTTAGGTTTTAGGGTTTGGGCTGAGGTTAGGGTTTCAGGTTAGTGTTAACGTTAGGGTTAATGTTTAGAGTTTAGGGTTAGTGTTTAGGGTTTAGGGATAGATTTAGGGTTATTGTATAGCATTTAGGGTTAGGGTTAAGGTTGCTTTAGGGTTAGGATAAGGGGTTACGGTGAGGCTTAGTGGTAGGTTTGGGTTAGGTTTAGGGTTGCAGTATAGGATTAGGGTTAAGTTTGGGTTTAGCATTTTCATTTATGCTTAGGGTTAGGGTTTATGCTTATGGTTAGGGTTAAATTCTGTTAGAATTAGGGGTTAGGGTTTATGTTTAGGCTTAGGGTCAGGGTTTAGGGTTAGGTTTACATTTAGGGTTGTATGTTTGGATTAAGGTTTGTGTTAGGGGTTACAGTTAGGTTTAGCCTTAGATTTATATTTAATGTTAGCTCTGTTCTATGATTAAGGTGAATTGTGAGGATTAAGGTAGGGTTTAGCATTTATGATTAAGTTTAGGTATAGGTTTAAAATGTTAGAAGGCTATTGTTAGAGTTATTATTAATTGTTAGGGTTATATCTAGGGTTTAGGGTGTATGGTTAGGGTTGATGTTAGCATTTAAGGTTTTGTGTTAGCATAGGGCTTGCTTTTAATTTTAGGGTTATGGTTATGATTATGTTACAATTATGATTAGGTTTATGTTCAGGTTTCTTGTTTGGTGTTTTGGTCTGGGTTAGAGTTTTTGTTTAGTTTGGGTTTGGAGTAGAGATAGGGTTAGGATTAGTGTTAGGGTTATGGGTTAGGGTTATCATTACCTGTTAGGGTTATTGTTTGAAGTTTAGGGTTTAGGGCATAGTGTTAATGGTTAGGGTTAAGGTTCAGCCTTAGATTTTGAGTTAGGGTTTAGGCTTAGGTCTAGTGGTCACCTTTGATTAGCGTTTGGGTCAGGGCCTTAGTTTGGCATTAGCGGTTAAAATTTAGATCTAGGTTGTATTGTTTTGGCTAGTTGTTACAGTCTTTACTAGGCTTAGTGTTTTATGGTTAGGGTTGTTGGTCAATTTGTGGTTGGTTTTGGGGTCACAGTTAGAGTCTGGGTCAGGGTTAGACCTCAGGGTTTGGGTAGTGTTATGGTTTTGTTAAGTGTTACGTTTATGTTCAGGGTTAGGGATTAGTGGTTACGGCTTGGATTGGGTTAGTGATAGGTTTCAGCATTTATAGTTACGGTTCGCATTGCAGTTGGGTAGGAATAGGATTTTAGGGTTAAAGTTAGGGTTAGTGTTTTAGCATCAGGGGTATAATTAAAGGGGAGATTTGAGGTTGGGGTTGTTGTAGGACTGGGGTAGATTTAGAGTTAGTGTTATCGTTTATGGTTAGAGTTCAGATTAGAGTTTATATGTTTGGGTTATGTTCAGTGTTAAGGTTAGTGTTACGGGGTTAGGGTTTGGATTATAATGTTACTGTTAGCTTTAGGATTTAGTTTAGGGTTAGGGTTAGTGTTTAGCATTAGTGTTAGTGTTTCAGTGTTAGCGTCAGGTATATATTTAAGTTTGTGTTAAGGTTGGCTTAGGGTCATGTTTAGTGTCAGTGTCATGCTCAGTTTTAGGATTATGTGTTAGAGTTAGTTTTGGGGTTACAATTAAGGGTCAAGATTGGATTTGGGCTTGGGGTTAGGGTTGGGGATAGGGTTGGAGTTGCAGTTGATGTTGTTCAATATATGGGTAGTGTTAGTGTCACTGTTTTAAGGTAGGGGTAGAGTAGGTTTAGAGTTAGTGTTAGGGGTAAAAGTAGGAGTTAGGGTTATGTGTTAGGTGTTAGAATTACAATTTTAGGGTTAGGTTTTTTGTTTTAGGTTTAGGGTTAGGATTGAGTTTAGTTTAGGGTTAGGGTTTGGGTTAAAAGTTGGGATTTGGGTAGGTTTAGGGCTGGGGTATGTTTAGGATTGGGGATAGGTGTAGTGGTACATTTAAGTTTAGAGATATGGCTAGTTTTTGGTTTTGGTTGGGGTTAAGATTAGGGTTTTAGTTAGCATTTTAGGGTTATTTTTAGGGTTTAGTGTTAGTGGTTAGGGTTTGGATTAGATGTCTTTTTCTGTCTCACTCATGTTCTCCAATGGACCAGTCATCACAGTTTTTCTGTCCTCAGAAGCCCATATGGACTTCAGACTTATTCAGACTTTGAAATAACTTCTCTTCATGGTGGAGTTACCAACTGTGGGCCTCCTCTCACTGAGACTTATACACTTACTGGGATTGCATGCCTGTAGAGAGATAGGTCTCCTCCTAACTAAGGGATGTAGAGACATCGCAACAACCTTCCTGCTCATAGAAGCTACCCACTGTGAATCTCCCCTCCACCAAGGGCTTCAGAGAAGTTTACACAACCTGTCTGTCTACTAAAATTTGTATCTGTGGGTCTCCTATTTACTGAGTGTTGCACAGATGCAGGTATGTCCTCTTTGTAAAATGGAGTTACCCACTTTTTGTATCCTGAGATCTGTATCTTCACTCAATAAAGCATCTATTTACCTTGGTTACTCTCCATTTTCCCACATATGTCATTCTTTCTGGACATGGGACAAGAACTCAGGATCCTCTTAATGACACAACTAAAAGTATAGTAACAGAAACGGGATTAAAACACTCCAACCCACACTTGCCACATTGTTAGCAGAATTGTTTTTACAAAAAGGATTAGAAGGGCTTAACCCTTTGAGAAGCCTAGACCTAAACATGTTCAAAGACAGAACTGTGACACCATCTCTGGGGCTCTCCAGTTTCTGGCATTTCTAAGTTTTTGGATGACACTGCATTCTCCAGTGCCTATGGAGGAAACAGCTTGTGGTATGCCTGATTCAGCCAAAGACTTGCAGGGTGTTGGCACCTGTTCTAGCACTTGTATCAGCTCACCTTATCACAGACAGTTTGTTTAGCTGTGTACAGTGGCTGGACTCAACAGTCACTCAGGTACCTCTCTCTACTCTGTGTCTGGCTCACCCACAGCAGGAATAGAATCTGAGCTGATAGTTTCAGCTAAACACAGCCTGTCAAGCTGAGTCAGTAAAATTAGCTCTGCAACCCCAAGAGAAACTTGGGCAATGCTGCCACCATCCACAGAGATTTTTGGCTTGAGAAGCAACAGCCTAGAGATACTGTGACAAAAGTAAGATTGTTCACCTGTGGCCAGTAGATTATTCCATCATGCCTATGTAATGAAGCCTCAATAAAAATCCAAGAGGACAGGCTTCAGAGAGCTCTGGATAGATAAACTTATAGAGTTTTCTAGAAAATTGTGAGCACATAAAATCAGACACCGATAATTTTAAATGTCAATGATAATATAAGTGTTTTTCCTTTATTTTGAAAGAAGTTTCAGCATTTGACTATGTGTTCAGAATTTTAACTTATTAAGTAGTACCTATTCCAAGTTAACCTAACAACTACACATTATAAACATAAAAACTTAAATATTTCCACCTAAATGTTTCTATGATTCACTAATACTACACAAGTTTTGTTTAGATAGTGGTTTCTTCATGTTAACCGGGTAAGAACTAGAAACTTATGAAAGAAATTAAAATAAATTGATATCTCAACATGAATTCTAACCATGTGTTCGGTTTAGAAGTTTGTCTCTCTGAGTTATTTGTGACTTTGTAAAGTCAAAGGCATTGGCTTAGATGTTTCTGTGTCTCTATTTGGGGGAGGGGAGCAGAGAGTGCCTCACAAAGCATTAGACTCTGCATTCTACGATATAAACAACAAACATTCTTACAGGCTTTTCTGTCATCCAAATCTAATAAAAGACAAGTTTTATCTTTTATATAGTAGTAGCCATAAATAAAAATTAGTGCTTTAAAGAACAGTCTAGTGCTCACCAGTCTGCTGTTATATTAGGGCTTATATGGGCATAAAATAATAACATTTGGGCCAAGTAGCTGTTTTATTATTTATTTTAAAGGTAGAGTGCTTAAAATGCCTTGATAATATTAAATAAATATCTTGTACATTTCCAGTTCTCATTTCAAGCTTTAGCTATGGGTAATATTGTTTGGGGCTATTAAGATAGATTAGGGCATCTTGGAGCTAATTATGTATTCTGCTGAGCTCAATCCTTCTGTCCTGAGCAGACAGACTGGCACATGCTTTAACATGGATTCTATCCCTTGTGCTGAGCCCCAGATTTTCTTTAGCACTTCACACACTCTCACATTGGCCTGTTTCATCTCCATCATAACATTACAGTGAACAAGAGTGTTACATTCCTTTAGCAAAACTGGATTACATGAGGCAAGCTCCTTAATAGGGATCCTAACCTCTTGGGTGAAAGTTGCAGCCCAAGACACCTGAGGGACCAGGCCTTTGGCACATGCATTTCATGCTGTCGGCTTTCACCAACCAATCAACATTTCATTGGAAGATGCTCCACCCATCATCTTGGGAAATGTGATGGTAGAACAGCCCCCTGGACTCTGTCTAAAGGTTGTACAAGTGGTGTGAAACAAAGCCTTTTCTTTACCTCAAACCAAATCACAAAAAGCATTATAGATGCACCTAGTCCAATGCCTGGGCTACTGGCTGGTACAATAGTCTTCGTAAACAGAGTGAAAGTATTCACAAAGTTCTTGATGGTGACCACCATTTCAATGCTTGCTCTGTTTCTGTCATTTCTTAAATGCACACAAAATCAAGACCACAGCAAAAGGCACTGCCAGCTACACTGAGCAGCATGAGCTTGCTGTCATTCCCAGTGGCCATATTCAGAGAATTCTCAATTTCTTTCATTACTTCTTTATTTAGTGAGTTTTTCTCTGTTGATCTAGTTGATAGCAACATCTGGTGAAGCCATCCTCTTTCCTCACCACAATGTCTCTAAACCTGCTGGCACTTTCTGTTAGCCTTATGGAGAAATACATCCTTTTGATAAAAGGCTGATTTTTTTCATCATCAATTGTCTTTCTTTGCCCAACTCTCACCCTTGGAACACATATATACATGTTTCTTGTTCCATTGGCTGTTAGTGGATCCATTAATTCCAGTGTACCTTCCTTATTACCTGAGCCTGTGGCCATGGAAGTAGTAATTGAGCCAGACAGCTGAGACATTAGTGGGTGTATCTGGGGCCACTTCGCTCTTCCAGCCTGGTTTGCACCAAGATCTGCTAAAGCTCTGATGGGCTTCTCTGATGCCACCTTGTGCACTGACATGTCCTGCGAATCTGGTGCAACAGGGTCCAGTTTCTCAGGTTCATGAAAGCCATTCTCGGTGTTTTTGCTGTTAACAGTCTCAGAATTGCAAATGTCTTGATAGTTGAATTTACCAGCTCCATATTTTTGGGTTGGAGAGAGGTGAAGCTGCATTTTCCTAACGTTCTGGCTGGCAGCAAACGACTGGCTGTTTTTGGATTTGTGATGTTTACCTGTCATTTTTTTATGAGAGTTCTTAGAAAAGTTGGCGTTCGTAGACCTGGAAGTTCCTTTTTCTGACATTGATTGAAAAAGTTCTACCTGTTCTTGTCAGTATACTTTTTTTCTGATTTTTAGTCATCTCTTGTAGTCATAAATACATTTACCGCAGTTCACGAGGTCCTGCTCTGGTTCCCAAGTGTCAGCCTTTTCATTGAACCAAATACTCTGTCTTCCCTTTTATGTCTTGCCTTTTGTCAATAATAGTTCAAACTTCAACCTCCTGGGTAGCCATGAAGAAAGAGACAGGATTGAGGCAGTTGCTGTGGCAACTTTGTTTCAGTTCAGTCTCCACATAGTCCCTGCTTTCTGCCTCCAGTGCTTCATCAGGCCCTGGGTATGGATGAGTCTCTTCCACTACATGACCACTGGCATAGTAAAAGTTGTGGGAAGAAGCAGCTATGCTATGTGCCTCAGGCTCTCCACATTTACTCCATGGTGGGACAGCTCAGGCTTCTGTTCAAGGTGCCAAGATGGCTGGCTAGGTAGCGTCTGGTAAGACCAACTAAATCCACAGCTCCTTCTCACGGATGTAGTGCAGAAAGCTTTCTACCTGCCTGTTCTCTTTCCTTTGTAGTTGCTATGATGATTATATTGAACATCCTAAAGTTATAACACGTTCAAAGTCACGTTAGTTTACTTTCAGTAACACATGAAACCCCTACTCATTTATAGCACAACCCCCATTATTTCACTTGTTGATTTCTCAAAATTATACCTTTATGCATTGTATTGTCAAAAACACAAGCAAGGCCAGGCATAGTGGCTCACACCTAGAATCTCAGGAGTTTGAGAGGTGAGGCGGGCGGCTCACCAGAGGCCGGAAGTTCGCGTCCAGCCTGACCAATATGGGGAAACCCCGTCTCTACTAAAAATACAAAATTAGCCAGATGTGGCTAATAATTACAGTGCCTGTAATCCCAACTACTTGGGAAGGTTTTCAGGCAGGAGAATCGCTTGAACCCAGAAGGCAGAGGTTGCGATGAGCCGAGATCGCGCCATTGCACTCCAGCCTGGGCACCAAGAGTAAAACTCCATCTCAAAAAAAAAAAAAAAAAAAAAAAAAAAAAAAGAGAAAAAAAGAAAAAACAAAACAAAACAGGCCAAGAGCGGTGGTTCACTCTTGTAATCGCTGCACTTCTGGAGGATGAAGAGGGTGGATTGCGAGGTCAGGAGATTCAGACCATCCTGGCTAACATGGTAAAACCCTGTCTCTATGAAAAATATAGTAGGGCGTGGTGGCTAAGCTATTCGTGGTGGTTAAGCTGGTAGCCCAGCTACTCAGGATGCTGAGGCAGGAGAATGGTGTGAACCCGGGAGGCAGAACTTGCAGTGAGTTTAGATCTGGCCACTGCACTGCAGCCTGGGCGAGAGAGGGAGACTCCATCTCAAAAAAAAAAAAAAAAAAAAAAAAGAGCCGGGCACGGTGGCTCATGCCTGTAATCCCAGCACTTTGGGAGGGTGAGGTGGGCGGATCACCAGGTCAGAAAATCGACACCATCCTGGCTAACACGGTGAAAACCCCGTCTCTACTAAAAGTACAAAAAATTAGCCAGGCATGGTGGTGGGCGCTTCTAGTCCTAGCTACTCGGGAGGCTGAGACAGGAGAATGGAATGAACCTGGGAGGTGGAGCTTTCAGTGAGCTGAGATGGCGCCACTGCTCTCCAGCCTGGGCGACAGAGCGAGACTCCGTCTCAAAAAAAAAAAAAAAGAAAAAAGAAAAAGAAAAAAATTCACTTTTTTTTTTTTTAATAAAATTGTATTGTCGATTATGTGGAGAGCAAATTACGGAGATGCACATTGTTAATTTTTTCTCTTTTATAATTGTTCACGTATTTATCTTTACCGTAATCTTTATTTATACTGCTGTTTAGCATCCTTTCATTTTATCCTGAAATACTCCATAAAACATTTCTTAAAGGGTTATCTAAAAAGACCCCAGCTTATATCTAGGAATGTCATAATTTTTCCCTCACGTTTGATGGACTTTATTTGGACATAAGATTTGTGTTTGAAAGTCTTTTCTTACATTACTTGGAAAATATTAGTCTACTGCCTTCTGGACTCTGAGTTTTTAGATAAGAAATCTGCTGATTATTTTTCAGGGTTCTTTTTACATGACTAGTCACTTCTCTTGCTGCTTTCAAGGTTCTCTTTGTCTTTGTTTTAGACAGTGTAATTATCATGTAAGTTTGAGTGTGTCTCTTTGAGTTTGTCTTAATTAGAGTTTGTTGATCTTCCTAGGTGTTTATTTCCTCAAATGTGTTATATTCTTGCCCACTGTATCTTTAGACTCCCTGTTTCTTGGTCTCTTCTCTTTGAACTTTCAAAATGAATAAGTAGGTCTTCTTGATGGTGTCCTACTGGATCTAGGCTGTGTTCGCATTTCTTTATTTCTTTTTCTCTTTCTGACTTAATAATTTCAACTGCCATTTTTCTAGGTTTGCCAACATTTTGTTCTTTTATCTGCTCAAGTCTCCTTTTAAATGTATGTAGAAAATTTCTATGTCATTTGTTTTCCTTTCCAGGTCCAGAATTTTTTCTTAGTTTTAAAAATAAGTTTATTCTCTCTTTATTAACATTTTTTGTTCATGAATTTCTTTGTTTTGGAAGGTCGAGGCAGGAGAATCATTTTGTTTATTCTAGTAGCTTCCTAAGGACATTAATTTTTAAAATTATTTTTTAGTAAGCCTGCCATTTGAGCTTTCTAGGAAAAGCTTCTGTTAGTGATTTTTTTTTCTTAGGATGATCCATACTTTCTTATTTCACTTTTTGCTTTGTGATTTTGTTGGTGTTGAAAACAAATCTTAAAATGCTGAAACTTTGAAAATCAGATTTTCTCCCTCTGTGGTTTGCTAGGGTTTTTTTAATTCCTCATGTCGGTTATTTCTGTCCTGGCAGTCAGTCTTACTCAACTTATTCTTGGGTCTTTCTTGAGCCTGCACCATTTTGGGGCACATGTGCTTAACAACAAATTTTATTCTAAAGTTTCATGTACATATGTTTTCTTTTTAATGTTTTTGTCCATAATTGTCTGGTCTCTTAAGATAAAAAAAAGAAAAATTAGAAAAAAAATGCATTGGCTCTTTAAATCTTCTGAAAGTTGCTTGAGGAGGAGGAGGAAAAGCCTGCAAAAGGTTTGGGGAATGAAATCATGACTTTTTCCCTGTGTCAGGACTGCCATAATCAGAAGCAGCAATTGGTGCCCAAGTCTTCCTGAGATTTGGAGGACTGAGTTCTTTTTGTTTATCCTGGCTCTTGCCAGCTGCTCCAGAAGTAGTCGCAAGGTAGCACACCACTGCGGTAGCTAATGAAAAATAAATAGCTGCTGGTGATCTACGCTATAAAAATGATCAAATTTAATTGCTGTTTACTGTACAAATCTTCTTTTAGAAACTGTATACTTTCAGATAGACTCTGGAGTTCCAAACTAATTGCATCATACCGATTCTGCCACTTGAAGAAACAGATATATAGTGCTCTATAGTCCAGTCATTCTTTTCCCAGAAGCTGTGTCATTTTACTTTGAATCTCCATGTTTTTTCACCTAAAGTAATACTTGCATAGAAATCGTGTAAGTAAATCCTTCTTTAAACGCGCTTTTTTGACATTCTTTGCCCTTTTCATGCAAGAGCTCATATTTAAAGTTATTACAAATAAAAAAATGCATACTCTAACATTTACTTACTTGTTTTCCATATTTTCTGTATCACATTTGATCCTCAATTCCTCCATTGATCATTTCAAAAATATGATTTTTAAAAATTTATTCTTTTCAGTATTTTTATATTACAATTAGTTGTATTTGGGACTTCATGTAATATTCTACACATAAAATCGCCTACTTTGAAGAATGTTAACTCAATTGAATGATCTAAAATTTAATTTTAACAATAAAAAAATGCTACTCTTGGGCTTTTCTATCCTTCTCAATTTATATTATTGTTCCAGATTATATCTGTATGCACTGAGTGCCCATTAAAATAGATTTGTATTTTTTAATGTAGTAGCTGCCTAGCAGAAGTATAATAGTATTAGATAACTTTGCCAGTGTGGTAATAGTAATACTATTTTTCTTAGAGAAGGGTTAGTTACACATTCCTTTAGCTTTTATCTAGGCATTTTTTGCTTGCATATTATATTGCCAGTTATATATTTTATTCATATCTCCAAAGTGTTTTCTTAGTTATTGAAAGCTTAGCATGCGTTCCATTAGCATTTTTAATAAGAGCAATATAAAAACTATCATAAAAAACAGAATCTGTATTAACTGATTGTCTGTTGTATGAGATAACTGTATTCTTTTCTCTCAACGTCGTAAAGATATGTGACCAATTCTTGGTATTTTCAACCAAGAGTGAGTTCTTAGTTAGGCAAAACAAAAATAAATGTGTTTTATCAATTCGTCATTTATCTCCTAGGAAGACTAGAAAAAACACAGTAAATTAGCACATAAAGGCTTCTTAACTCCTCCCTGAATCAGGAATCTGGGCCTCAAATTAAAAATATAAATTTCAGTTTAGAAGGCTTCATCTGTGCCAGGGAGGCAGTATGGCAATCCAAAAATAAATTTATAATTTTAAAATTGTCTCCCTTGATTGCTTAGTTGATAGCAACTGTTGATTTCCAGGGTCCAGACACTTTTTTATTGGTTTGATATTTCTTTGAATGGTTTGAAGCTGTCTTCTCTGTAGTTTTGCTTTCATTTTTATTTGTAAAGCACTGATTGTTTTCTAATCTCAGAGTTTATTTTTATTTAGGAGATCTATATTTTTGTCCAATAACAATGTTATTTAAAATAGTTTCATTGAATATTACACCTCTAATTTGGGATCCTAGATGTTTTGTTTTTGTTTTAGTAGTTACAGTATAAAGTTTTTGTTTGCATTTAATTAATTGAGTTTATCAATTCCATATACAATGCATGAGGCAAGACTCTCTATTATAAAGTACATTTTGGTTTTATGTAAAACAAGTATAATTTGTTTCGAAAGTGACTTGCAAGTACATATCTAAATAAAATAATAAGAGAATAATCATGTAAGTATGTAGGAAGATCGACAAGCATGATGATTTCTGGCAGAGTCCTGCTTAGATTGTTTGCAATACAGCGAGGTCACTGTGGTTGGAGCAGTTACCTTGGAAGGGGAATGATTATAAATGGTAAGACCATCGAGACGACAGACAGTCCGGGGTGATTGTCCAGGGTTTCTGTAGGTCAGTAGATTTAAGTTTAGTTTTACTTTATGCCTGGTTGATGACTGGAAGTGGAATTGGTAAGGTTGTTACTAGCGTCTGGTGCTGAAAGGCTAGAAATGCTGCTAAATATCTTAAAATCTAGAGTCTTAGGCATCTTTGAGATATTAACAGTGTTGAAACATCTCTCCAGAAAATTGTAAAAAAATAAACACACTTTCAGAACACTTTGATTTTATATTTTCAAGATTTCTTAACTCAATTTTTGCTTTCTGTAAATAAGAAGGATTTTAGGAAGTTTTTTAAAGTTCAGTTGATTCACGGTTGGGTAAGTGTTAGTGAAGTCAGTTCAGTTAATCAATGGTTAGAAACTAAAGCATATATTTCCTTTTCTCCCCTTTTCTTTCCCATTACTTTTTAAATATTTCCATAAAATGCTAATATAGCAAAATAAAACCCTAGGCCACGTCTGTTTTGGGGAACCAAGAGAGAAAACTCAATCAGCGGCTTTTAGGATAGAACTAATCTTGACTACAGCTGGAAGACATACATAATGCACATGCACACATGTGCACTGGCACACTCCTATTCATCCACATTTTGCATATTTGTCATAAGACAAATATTAAATGTGTCTTATTCATGAAAGTTGTAAGATATTACAATAAGCAAGCCAAATGAAAACTAAGATTTCAAAGATTATTGCCAGTGTTGGAGAAATCTTGCTTTTGCTAAAGTTGTTGGCTTAATACTCAAGTATCTTCTACTGTTTAATAAATTACTTGATAGAAGTTTGTATAGTGGGCATCTTTGATCACAATTACTTATGCTCTGTCTTGTTGTAAAATAACCCAAAATAAATAGTTTCAGAAAAATTTACATTAGAAAATAAGAGAAAATAAAACAAATGAATGAGAAAATTGCTGTAATATAAAAAATGTGGAATATGAAAAAATATATATTAAGAGAAATCCAAAAAGGAGGTTCATTCATACAATGTAAAATCTTTTCTGTTTGAATAAAAATTAGTTTCAGAACCTTAGCAGCTAGCAGCAACATGGTAGTTAACCTCATGTGTAATGCTCAATTAGTTGTATATGGAGCACAAAATGTATGAGGAGTTTATTAAGTATTAACTCTCACATGATCACAATAGGCTACCTGCAAGCTGAGGAGCAAGGAGAGCCAGTTTGAGTCCCAAAACTGAAGAACTTGGACCTCAATGTAAAAGGGGAGGAAGCATCCAGCATGGGAGAATGATGTAGGCGTGGAGCTAGGCTCCTGTCTGCTTTTCACATTTTTCTGCCTGCTATATATTCACTATAAGTTGATTAGATTATGCCCACTAGATTAAGGTGGATCTGCCTTCTTCAGCCCACTTACTCAAATGTTAATTTTTCTGGGGGGACCACCCAATAGACACACACAAGATTAATACTCTGGCACTTTGGGAGGCCGAGGCGGGCGTATCACGAGGTCAGGAGATCGAGACCATCCTGGCTAACACGGTGAAACCCCGTCTCTACTAAAAATACAAAAAATTAGCCGGGCGAGGTGGCGGGCGCCTGTAGTCCCAGCTACTCGGGAGGCTGAGGCAGGAGAATGGCGTGAACCCCAGGGGGCGGAGCCTGCAGTGAGCCGAGATTGCGCCACTGCACTCCAGCCTGGGCGACAGCGAGACTCCGTCTCAAAAAAAAAAAAAAAAAAAAAGAAGATTAATACTCTGTATCCCCCAATCCAATGAAGTCAACAATCAGTATTAACCATCACAGCTCCACTTCTTGTCAAGTTGAACCCATACACATCTCGTAAGCGCATACATAATCTTCAAATAAAGACAATAATGAGGTCATAATTACAACTAGCATAATACAACTATCCTTTGTACAACCAGGAACATCCCAATCCCTAACCCAAATAGTATTATGTAAAGTTAAGAATACTCAAATATTAATATGAAGTCAATAAATCTTATGTCACATGATAAAGAAAAAGAAAAAAAATAAAGATATTTTTACATTTGTATACATGCACAAACTTTGTTTTTTTAGAGTCTGAGTCTCACACTGTCACCCAGGCTGGAGTGCAGTGGCATGATCTCAGCTCAGTGCAAGCTCCACCTCCCAAGTTCACACCATTCTCCCTCCTTAGCCTCCAGAGTAGCTGGGACTACCGGTGCCCACCACCACAACTGGCTAATTTTGTTTTTGTATTTTTAGTAGAGATGGGGTTTCACCAGATTAGCCAGGATGGTCTCGATCTCCTGACCTCATGATCCACCCGCCTTGGCCTCCCAAAGTGCTGGGATTACAGGTGTGAGCCACTGCACCCAGCCAAACTTTTTTTTAACAAAAGGAAGAAGTATTTAGGACATTCAAAGTCCTCATTTCTGCCACTGGTCATGTTGTCATAGCTGGTATTGATGACTACCTTTTTCTACCAAATTTTCTCTATTTCTTTTGCCTTCAGCAAGCACCTCAGCAGGTGCTGTTTTTTCTTTTTCTTTTCTTTTTTCCCTGGTAGAGTGACCCAAACCTTAATTCCGGAAGAGTCTGGACCATTTGTATTCCTGCCAGAATTTGGCTGCTGTAGTTATCCACTGACCTTAATCACAGGACATGTTAATATTAACAGGCACCCTGATTGATTTCCTTTATTACATGCTTACTCTTCCTTACCTCCATTGTGGAGTAGTAGACTGATTTCATCTGACAGTTTAGGACAATTACCACAGCCAAAACTGTAACTCCTTTCTTAGCCTGATGACTGAAACCTAGGAGGAGCCCAAAGTGATAAGGGGGCAATCTTAACTTCTAATTTAATGGAATCATTCAATGGATCCCATTCAAGATGATGGGAAACATGGTAGGACCAGTGAATTCCATAATCAGTAGACCACTGCCACACTTCTTTAGCCGTAAAGTGAGCGCCTTGGTCAGAGGCAATGCTGTGTGGAATGACATGATAGTGGATAAAGCATTTTATTAGTTCACAGATGGTAGTCTTGGCAGAAGCATTGCATGCAGGATAGGCAAACCCATATCCAGAGTAAATGTATATTTCTTTGAGAACTAACCTCTTTCCTTTTCATAATGGAAGAGATCAAATGTAATCAAACTTCCATCAGGTGGCTGGCTGATTACCCCACAAAAGTGGTGCCATATTGAGAGCTCAGTGTTGGTCTATGCTGTTGGCAAATTGGGAATTCATCAGGGGCCATAGCCAGGTCACCCTTGGTAAGTAAAAGTCAATTTTCTGAACGCTTGCATAACCTCCATCCCCACCATCATAGACACTTTGTTTATGGGCCCATTGAGTGATGACAGGAGTGGCTTGGGACAGAGTCTGAGTGGTGTCCACAGAACAGGTCATTCTATCCATTTGATTATTAAATTCCTTCTCTGCTGAGGTAACCAGTTGGTGAGCACTCACGTGAAACATAAATATCCTCAGTTTCTGACCACTCAGAGAGGCCCCTGCACATACCTTTTCCCAAAATTGCTTTGTCACCAATTTTCTAATCATGGTTCTTCTAAGTCCCTGATCAGCCAGCCAAACCATTTGCTACAGCCCAAGAATCAGTATATAATCACACATCTGGCCATTTCTGTTTGAAGTTCTGCCCATTGGGAAGATTTCCCTTTACCACTGTCTTTTAGGAATGTCCTAAAAAGAAGCTGTAGTGCTGCAGCTGTCTAATTTCGGGTGGTGGCTGCATATTGTGCAGAACCAACTGGAACCTGGCCATAATCTTCTCTTATTTTGTCAATTGATCATAGGCAACTCCTCATGAGACCATGATTGCAAGTTGAAGGAGAAAAGGCAGGATGGCAGAAGTGGAGAGCGTGGACTTTTGATCCACTTTCTTATATAACTAACTTACTTGTTCTTTCACATCCTGTTCGAGCATGGCCACATATATTCCACTTCCATTTGATGATGAAATACTGCTATGCACAACCCATTTTGTGGCTAGATGGTTAAGAAATCAAGCAGTTCATGATAGGCCATTTAGTTCATATGGTGGCTTGATGACCCATAGTCAAACGTTCAGTTTCCAACAAAGTCCAGTAACAGGCCAAGATCTCTCAAAAGGAGAGTAGTTATTTGCAGAACATGTGGAGCTTTTCTTCAAAACACTAGAGACCAATGCTGTGATTCACCTGTGGGAGCCTGGCAAGGCCTCCAAACAGCAACCTTATCTACCAATGATGCCTCAAGCACCATTAGAACTGCTGGGTCATATGGCCCAAGTGGCAGGGAAGCTAGCATGGCATCCTAGAACTGCAGCAGATCTTCTTCCTGTTCTGGACACTACTCAATACTGGCAGGCTTTCAGGTCACTAAATAAATGGGCCAGAGTAAGATACTTGAATGAGAAATGTGTTGCCTCCAATATCCAAATAGGTTCCCTAGACATTTTGCCTCTTTCTTGGTTGTAGGAAGAGCCTAATGTAGCAACTTGTTATTTACCTTATAACACCTAGAAATTTTACTGAGATAAAGTGTCCCTGAAATTTAGTCAGATTTATTTCCCATTCTCTGGTACAAAAATGTCTCATAAATAAGTCCAGTGTGTTTGCTACTTCTTGTTCACTGGGTAAAATCTGCATAATGTCATCAATGTAATGGACCAGGGTGCTATCTTGCAGAAGCCAAAAGCAATCAAGGGCTCTCTAAATAAGATTATGACACACAAAGAGTTGATATACCCCTGTGGTAGGATAACAAAGGCATATTACTGGCCTTGCCAGCTGAAGGCAAATTGCTTCTGGTGAGCCGTATGGACAGGAATGAAGAAAAAGGTATTTTCCCAGTGAATTATTGCATACCAGGTACCAGGAGATGTATTAATTTGCTCAAACAATAAAACCACATCTGGTACAGCAGGTACAATTGGAGTCACCATGCAGTTAAGCTTACGATAATCCACTATTATTCTCCAAAATCCATGTGTCTTCTGCATCAGACAAATGGGAGAGTTGTAGGAGGATGTGTTGCTAATTACCACTCCTATGCCTTTCAAGTCCTTGATGGTGTCACTAACCTTCACAATCTCTCCAAAAAATTGATATTGTTTTTGATTTACTATTTTTCTAGGCATAGGCAGCTCTATTGGCCTCCATTTGACCTTTCCCATTATAGTAGCTCTACCCTACAAGTCAGGGAGCAAATGGTGGATTCTGCCAGCTGCTAAGTATGTCTATGCCAATTATGCATTCTGGCACTGGGAAAAGGACCACAGAATGAGTCTAGGGACACATTGAACCCCTTCTAAGTCTGACTGAAGCTAAAACTTTATTAATTACCTGACCTTCATAAGGTCCTACTTTAACTGAAGGACCACAGTGATGTTTTTTGTCCCCTGGAATAAACATCAGCTCATAGACTGTGTCCAGCAGTCCCTGAAAAGTCTGATCATTTCCCTTTCCACATCAGGACACAATTATTCCCATTGTGTTTAAATTTGGTAGTTTAGTTACTGTAGTTTCCACCCTTAGATCTGACATACAGAGAAGAAAAATTACAGGCCTCTTCAAAGATGCAGGTGCTGATCTCACAAATCTATTTCACAAAGCACTGATCAAGGGTGTATCTTTTGAACCCTCCCAGCTGGGGTGAGTATGTCTAAAGTGACAAATCCACTCCACCATCCAAATCTCCCTAGGCCTTTGGATGTCTTCCTTACATTAAACCAATAAAGAGCAGACATTTATAGCCCACTCACAGTAGGCCATCTTTTTATTTATATTTCATTTAATCAAGCAAATAAATTATCAGAACTCATTTTAAACTCCTTGAGCTGCAGCTTTAAATGCAGAGCCTACTTAGTGAGCCCTGATCAATAAATTCAGCCTGACACAATTCTGGGTTTTTTTCCACTATTTTCTCATACCTATACTATCCATTCCCATGCCTGTTCCCAGACTACATTTTATATACATTTGAAAACTCAAACAGTTCTTTTCATGTGTACCATACGTCCTCAGAGGTCACATTCTCAATCTCACCTCTAAGAGCCCACCAGAGCTTTGTAGGGGTTCAGTCAGGATGGTGGGGAAAATTATAAGTCACAAACCTTCTTGCAAAGCCTGAAGGATTTTGTAAAAGTCTCAGGATAAGGTTATGGCTGAAGGCAAACTAATCCTTACCTTGAGTAGATAGGTTAAAGTGCATACAAAGGAAGGTAGGGTAGTTTATCTAACTGGCTTCTTTACTCATGTGGTAAGAAGACTAACTTTTGATCTACTGCAGGTGCTTAATTCCTTTCTACTTGGGAAGTCTGAATGTCAATTACCCTCTAGTGGTGTTTACTCAGACCTTTGTCAATTAATCTTTACTGTACAAATGCAAGTCTCGCTGGCTGATTGAGGCTGCAGTTGCAACTGTTTAGTGCATTCTGTGTGGATACTCTAAGTGGCCCAGATGCTTAGTCAAACTCACAAAGCAGAATATCTGTGTGTCAGTGTACTTTATTCACCCATCATTGAGTTAGGGTCTGCAGGAAAGACCCCCACAGCCAGCACCCCCATGTGAAGAACATGGCAAAGGAGGTGCGATGGACCCCCTGAAAACAAACATTGAAGAAGATTGTGTGGTCAAGTCAGTAAAACAGGAAGTCATTGGTGTCCACTTGGGATTTCCAAGTTCAGAGGGGATTGGTCAGGCTGAGGTTTCATCATGGGACAACAGTTACCAACTCAACAAAAACAGTGTATAAAATGTTGAAATAGTTGCTTAATGCTTCCAGAGTATCAGGTTCATGGACTCACTTAAGAGAACTAATGCAAACTACTGTCTCACATAATCCATGGTTCCCAGAATAAGGAATGCTAGAGGTAGAACTTTGGTAACAGGTGGGGAGAAATCTTAAACAGCATGATGCACAAGGGCAATGGGTCCCAGTATCAATTTTAACACTATGGGCCCCTGTAAGGATGGCTTTAGTCTCATTATACACAGAAGAGCCTAAAAAGGGGAAGAAGGAGAAAACGTCACTTGCCGTATTGCCTCTCCTGGTGAATCAGGTGGCCAGGCAAAATATAACAGCTGATATGCTCCAGGGAAGGGGTCCTCATGCCGATGTGCAATAAAAACTAAATTTTGATCTCCAGGCTTATGCTGATGTCCCTCTGTGTGCTCTCAGGGCTTGGGACCAAATTCCTGAAAGCAGAATTCAGCAGGGATCTTTTGTAAATGTTTGACAAGGGCCTCAGCAGCCATTTGTTGAGTTTATCAATCAGTTAACCAAGGCAATTAAGAGACAAATTAGTCATGCCCAGGCCACTGATATCATTGCAGCTGGTTTTTGAAAATGCCTGTGTGGTTTGCCAGCAGGCAATGCAGGCAATCAGAGGAAAGGCCACCACTGTTGGGGAGCTAATACCAGCATTTCAGCTAGTAGGAACTGAGATACGCAAAGCCAAAATATTGGCTATGGCATTAAGGCCTCCTAAAGTGAAAAGGGAGAGAGACCAAAATTGTGTTCTATGAGGAGAGCCAGGACATATAACAAGGGAATATCATTATAGTAAAGATCAAGGTAACTAAGATCAAGTAAAGATCAAGGTAACTTCTATATGTCCCCAAAGTAGGAAGGGGAAGCATTGGGCAGATCAATGCAGGTCTAAATTGGATAAAAATGGCAACCCCATAAGAAACCAGTCAGAAGCTTCATGAGGGGTCAGCTCCAGGCACCACTCCCAACTGGGGCAATGCCAGCAGCTTTCCTTGGTCAAATGGGAAGTCCATAGTCCTCTCTTTTAGAGCGGCCACAACTGGGAGCACAGGACTGGACTTACTCTGCCCCAGTGAATTAGTGCTAAAAGAAGAAGACTCTAAAAGTGTTGCAATTGGGATCTGGGGCCCAGTGCCTCTGGGAACAGTGGGGTTAGTCCTAGGGCAGTCTAGCCTACCCAGTCAAGGAATTAATGTGCCCAATGGGGTAACTGATAGTGATTATCAGAGTGAGATATTGGTTATGATGGAATGTAAAGGTCTGCATATTCCTCCCCCTGGATCAAAGATAGCTCAGTTACTGATTTTACCATACTGGGTCTTCAATGCCCATGGAAAGGAAAAGCGAAAGGGAAGCTTTGGATGCACAGGAGCCATGGGAGTGTATTGGAATCAATTAATCACTGATCAGAGACCCATGATTACTTTTAAAAATTGGACATAAGAATTTTACTGGCTTATTGGGCACAGGAGTGAACATTTTAATCATTAGTGATCAGAACTGTCCAGAAACTTGATCTTGGATCACTCAAAAACAGAAAATTTCTGCATTGACAAAGCACACACAGCCAAGCAGAGCATGCGTCCCCTAACATGCTGTGATTATGAAGTTAGAATGACAGTTATGCAACCTCTAATCATGCCCATCCTGTTAATCTTTGGGGGCAGGACCTATTAGCCCAGTGTGTGTGAGGAGATCACTCTGCATACCCCTTTATGACAATGGCCACTATTGTTATTTCTCCTCTACCCCTGACATGTCTCTCTCAAGATCCAATTTGGGAAGAATAGTGGCCTCTGAAGTGAGACAAATTACAGAAGGCTCATGAATTAGTTGAAGAGCAATCAAAGGCTGGGCATATCAAATTATCTCACAGTCCCTGGAATTCACCCATTTTCATCATTCCCAAAAAGTCTGGGAAATGGATAATTATCCAAACTTACAGGCTATTAATGCTAATTTACAGCCTATTGGGCCCCTTCAACAGGGCCCCCCTTCCTCCACTTTGATTCCTCAAAATTTGCCTGTAATCATTATTGACTGAAAGGATTCTTTTCATACAATTTCTCTAGGACAGAGAAAAAATTGTGTTTACCATATCAGCTATCAATAATGAAAAGCCAGCTTGTTGATTTCATTGGAAAGTGCTTCCTCAAGGAATGCTAAACAGTCCTACCTTGTGTCAGTATCATGTAAATCAAGCTTTGCTCCCTAGTAGAAAAGAGTTTTCTGATTGCAAGATGAATATTTTTATGGATGATATTCTACTTGCAGCCCCAATGGAGCCAACATTTTTAAATTTATATTCCTCTGTCATAAAGAATACACAGATAAGAGATTTAATTGTTCCACCTGAGAAAGGACAGCTGTATTCTCCTTGGAAATATCCTGGGTACATACTAACTTTCCTGTCAGTAAGACCTCAAAACACTAAATTAAATACTAGCAAGTTACACATCTTAAATTATTATCAAAAATTTCTGAGAGACATTAATTTGCACCACCCTACTTTGAGGATTTCTACTGATAAACTATAAAACCTGTATTCTATCTTAAAGGGCAATCCAGCCCTAGATTATCCCAGATATTTAACCCCTGCAGCAAAAAGGGAAATCAAGGAACTAGAACTAGAACTGCATCAAAAAGAGAAATCAAGGAAATAGAACTCACCATCTCTCAGAGGCAGCTAGATCACATAGTCCCAGGCTTTATGGTACATGCTGTTTATCTTTCCCAGCAAACACTCCCCTAAAGGGTTAATAGGACAAATGGTCCCTGGGCTATTCTTCCTAGAATGGATTTTTTGCTCACATAATGGGACTAAAACTCTATCTCCCTATATTTAGTTAATTACTAAAGTCATCTATTCAGGTTGCAAATGATGTAATCGGTTGCTAGGTTATGATCCTGATGTCATCAGGATTCTTTTAACTAAAAAGCAATTTGAAGCAGTATTGCCATTATTGATAGATTTGCAAATAGCTTTCTCTGATTACACAGGACAAATAGAGCACATCCATCCTTCTGATCAACTCCTTCATTTATTATCTCATATGCTGGTAATTTTGTCCACAGAAAGAGGTCAATCCCCATATCTAATGTTTTAACATTGTTTACTGATGGGTCTGGTAAACATGGAAAAGCAGCAGTCTGGTGGAGACCACACAATTCAATCACTTGATCTGGGTTTACTAGCACTCAGAGAGCTTAGATTGGGGCTCTGATACTGGCCTTGGAAACTTTTTGCACTCAGGCCATAAGTAGTGTACGTGACTGTGCATACTCTATTTACTACAAAACCTTGAGAGACCTTAATTGAGTCCACTCTGGGCCCAGCCCTGTGTGCTCTTTTTCTTTGACTTTAGCAATTGCTTGATCAACATACACATCCTATTTTTATTACAAACCTTCGAGTCCACAGCTCACTGCCTGGCCCATTGACTTATGGCAATAATGAAGCAGACTTTCATGTTATGACATTACTGCTTAACCAAGCCACCCAATTGCATCAATTTTGCCACCAAAATTGGAGAAACTTATCTAAATAATTTCCACTTACTCACAGAGTGGTAAAAAAATTATCCTAAAATGCACAGATTGCCACCTCATAGGCACATCTCCTCCTTCAACAAGTGTTAACCCTAGAGGACTAGAGCCTAATCAGATATGGCAAACAGATGATACATACATCCCTGAATCTGGAAAACTAAGATATGTACATGTATCCATTGAGACCAACACGCATTTAATTAGTGCACATGCTCTGCCTGGAGAGTCAACTCAATATGTCATTAAACATATTCTTTTCAGTTTTGCATTTATGGGCTGACCCACAAAAATTAACACTGATAATGCTCCAGCTTATGTCAGTTCACAATTTCAACAATTTTGTCACACATGGAGCATCCAATATTCCACAGGCATTCCATATAACCCCAAAGACAAGAAATAGTAAAACATGCCCACTCCTCCCTTAAAAATATGCTCAAATAAAAGGGTGGGGGGAGTATGGGTAAAGACCCTTCAATGCTATTGGCATAAAACCTACAGTTTTATGGAAAGATGTAAACAGTAATGAATGGTGCAGTCCTAGGGAATTATTAACCTGGGGAAGAAGGTATGCTTGTGTCCACACCCCCTCAGGTCCTCTTTGGATTTCAGCATGACACATCAAACCATACCATGGCATGACTAGGACCCAACCCAGTATCAGGAATGAATGAGTGAATCCTGAAAGATCCACAGCCCCGGACGATGAAGTTAACATGAATGACACAAGTGCCAGACATTACCTGGGGGCTGCTGAAGAGGACAACTCAGGTGGCTGAACAAATCCTCCTCCAGACATAGACACTATTTACTCCAGATAATTTGTTTCTTGCTATGCGTTCTGTTTTTCATTGCAACTCATGAAGGATATTAATCCTTTTCATGCTCTTGCTTTGTCTGCAAACTGCACCTACTAAATTTATTGAGCTTATATCTTAAACCAGCCTTTTTTTTCACCTGGGCAGACACTTTCTTTACAACCTATAATAACATGACTCCTTCACTAGGAGGGATAGATTTACCCCCATGGCACCCCTCAATAATGGCACACATTGAACTAAGGTGCCAAACAATACTACATATCACTCCACTATCCTCCCACTGTGTGTAAGTTATAAAGGCTCTAACACTTACTGTGTACCTGCCCAAATACAAGTATGGCTACATCATGGGAAAGGAAATGCCTTAACATTCTTAGCTGCAGGAAGCCTCAATCCAGGCAATGCAATCAATGCCACTTTCCCAAACATTCCTTCCTGTACTAAAGAAAAAAGCCAGGAAAGTAATGGATTCCACTTTAGCTGGGAGGTCTGTCACAGGAAACAAGCCCATAGCTTCTGGTTAGGCAATTATAACATCCTAGACTTGAGCCCCCAATGCCTATTGCAGGGCAGTCTTACTAATGTCTTCTTCCATCACAGCAACAATCATAGTTCATAACCATATCTCTTTCCCCTATAATTTGGGCCAATGGGGGGATGGAATATTCCAGACCCCAAGTAAAGTCCATGCCACCCCAAGTCACCTTATGGTGCCTGGTACATCTCAGCACCTCCCTTAACACTTGGCATGGTACCTATCATAATTCCAGTCATGGCCAGGTGCAGTGGCTCATGCTTGTAATCCCAGCACTTTGGGAGGCCAAGGAGGGTGGATCATGAGGTCAGGAGATTGAGACAACCCTGGCTAACATGGTGAAATCACGTCTCTACTAACAATACAAAAAAATTAGCCAGGCGTGTTGGCAGGTGCCTGTAGTCCCAGATACTTGGGAGGCTGAGGCAGGAGAATGACGTGAACCTGGCAGGCAGAGCTTGCAGTGAGCCAAGATCATGCCACTGCACTCCAGCCTGGGCAACAGAGCCAGACTACATCTAATAATAATAATAATAATAATAATTCCAGTTGCAACTATACTATAACCTTTGTTCATAATTACACTGATTACTGCCTTTGTTCATAATCATACTGATTAGATATATTATGATCACCAATCACAATATATCTAATTTCAAAATTACTTGTTGTGGGAAGTCAGGGACCCCAAGTGGAGGGATCTGCTGAAGCCATGGCAGAAGAATATGGATTGTGAAGATTTCATGGACATTTATTAGTCCCCAAAATTAATACTTTTATAATTTCTTATGTCTGTCTTTACTGCAATCTCTAAACATAAATTCTAAAGATTTCATGAACACTTATCACTTCCTTGATCAATACCCTTGTGATTTTCTATGCCTGTCTTTAATCTCTTAATCCTGTCAGCTCATGAGGATATATGTCGCCTCAGGACCATGTGATAATTGCCTTAACTGCACAAATTGTGAGCATGTGTGTTTGAACAATATGAAATCTGGGCATCCTGAAGAAAGAACAGGATAACAGCAATTGTTCAGAGAATAAGAGAGATAACCTTAAACTCTGACCACCAGTGAGCCAGGCAGAACAGAGCCGTATTTCTCTTCTTTCAAAGCAAATGGGAAAAATATTGCTGAATTCTTTTTCTCAGCAAGGAACATCCCTGGGAAAGAGAATATGCACCTGGAGGTATAGGCCTATAAATGGCCCCCTTAGGTGTGCCCATCTCTTATGGTCGAGGCCATAGGGGTGAAATAGACCCCAGTCTCCCATAGCACTCCCAGGCTTATTAGGAAGAGGAAATTCCCAAGTAATAAATTTTTGGTCAGACCATTTGCTCTCAAAACCCTGTCTCCTGATAAGATGTTGTCAATGACAATGGTGCCCGAAACTTCAGTAGTAATTTTAATTTCACCCTCGTCCTGTGATCCTGTGATCTCACCCTGCCTCCATTTGCCTTGTGATATTCTATTACCTTGTAAAGTACTTGATGTCTGTGACCCACACCTATTCGCACACTTCCTCCCCTTTTGAAAATCCCTCATGAAAACTTGCTGGTTTCTGTGGCTTGTGGGGCATCACAGAACCTACCGATATGTGATGTCGCCCCCAGATGCCCAGCTTTAAAATTTCTCTTTTTTTCTACTCTGTCCCTTTATTTCTCAAGCCAGCTGACACTTAAGGAAAATAGAAAAGAACCTACATGAATATTGGGGCAGGTTCCCCAATAATTATTAGTGTCATGGTATTAAGGAGACAATCTGAGGCATTCCTACCAGTCAATCTGACATGCAATTGGCAAAGTTCCTCTGCCATTTCCACCTTAGAATATGCTCTGTCCCAGGACAGACACAAAATGTTTACAGTTACACTTATGGCCTTTATATTCTCAGCTGTAGTTATCCTGGCAACTGCTAGCATTGCTGTTGCATCTATTACTGAGTCAGTAAAAATAGCTGCCTTTGTAGATAATCTGGCCAACAATGTGTCTAATGAATTCTCTCTCAGCAAGATATAGATTAAAAAAATCCTTGCATGTCTGCGAGCCCTCGAGGCTACTTTAAAATATGCAGGGGAACGACAAGATCTACTGGCATTCTGAAAGCAATTAAGCTGTGACTGGGAACATAAACATCTCTATGTCACTTCTCTACCATGGACTCAATCTATACATTGTTGAGATGAGGTAGAACAGCATCTCTGGGGAACCTTTCATGACAATTTAACAGCAGTTTTAAGCCAACTTAAAACTAACATTTTAGAATCCCTTCACACCATAGACCTACACACACAACAAACAGCCACAAGGAAGGGTGTGCAAGATCATTTCTCCTAGTTAGACCCCCCACTCCTGGGGACCACACTTTGACTGGAAAAGAATGCTGCTAATTGTACTCATGATTGTTTTTTATTGTTTGCTAATTCTAAGATGCAAAGTTAGAATAAGAGTAATGACTGCCAGGACAGCCACACCTGACAGACTGGTTGCTGACATACCTATGCTCTCCAATTAAGAAACCTGATGCAGAAAACAAAAAAGTGGAAGAGGTAGCAGATTGATCAAGATGGTAGGGACAATTATAAGCCACAAACCTTCTTGGAAAGCCTAAAGATTTTTGTAAAAGTCTCAGTATAAGGTTATGACTGAAGGCAACCTAATCCATACCTTGTGTAAATAGCTTAAAGTGGGTACAATGGAAGGTAGAGTAGTTTACCTAACTAGCTTCTTTACTTGTGTGGTCCTAAGACTAACCTTTGATCTAATACTGCAGGTGCTTAATTGCTTTCTACTCAGAAACTCCACGATGTCAATTACCCTCTAGCTGTGTTTACTCATGAGCTTTGTCAATTAGTCTTTACTGAATAAGTACCAGTCTCATTAACTGGTCAGGACTGTTTACAGTCCCTGGTCGCAACTGTTTACAGCACTCTGCATGGAGTCTGTAAGTGGCCCAGATGCTCAGTCGAACTGGCAAAGCAGAATATCATGCATCAGTGTACTTTATTCATCTGTTGTTGGGTCAGGGTCTGTGGGATAGACCCCTGCAGAACTTGAGTCTAGTTATAGGTCTAGAAGTAAACAGAGGTGTAAGGGTGGATTCTGAGGAGACTCAACATTATAGTGCCTGGCAACTGACTCGGGGAGGCCATCACTGTTGCCTCAGCTAGCTCAGGCTTTATATCTTCAGACAGAACTGGAAAGGCTGATGGCAGCATGTACCTCTTTCTTTCTTGATGCAGAACAACAGTTTTAGATCTGTTGAATGTCAGGGCTGAATGACCTGCAACACAAACAGGGATAAAACTTGCCCCTTGCTCATCACATTGTGGAAGACAAAGATAAGAGGAGAACGGTGACCTTTCAGACCTAAGGGCTGGCTGTGACACCTTCTTTGGGACTTTGCAGTTTCTGGAATCTCCATGCTTCTGGGCACCACTACATTTCCCAGTATCAGCTGTAGAAGCTGCTTACAGTATTCCTGTTCCAGCTGCAGCTTCTCATTTCACTGGTACTTTTGTTGGCACCTAACACTTTCTGCCCTCTCACACCTGGCAAGCCTGGCTGTGTTTTGTGGCTGGAGCCCATGCTTGCTCATACACCACTCACCACACACTCATGCTTGCCCTTGGCTGGTGTTAAATCTTGGCCCATAATGGAAGCTGAGTGCAGCCTGTCAGGCAGACTGGGTAGAACAAGCTTAGCAGGCCTGAGCAAAACTCAGGCACAAGCACCATTGGCCATAAAGGTTTTCATCTGGCAAAATGACTCCCCTAAAATTCCATGAAAAAAGAAGCATAGCTAGTTGTGCCTTCTCGTGGATCTTGAAATACAGATAATTCTGTGAACTACATTTTGGTAGTTTTAACCTTATTAGGAAATTATTATTACATTTCAAAATTTTTTAAAAATCAAATTTGAAAGTTGGCCTTAGCATTGAACCACCTGATCCCTCTTACACAGAAATATATCATGTGAGAATATTTTTCTGAACTATATGGCATTGGGCTTCAAGTTAGCATCTTTCTAGGAGATTATGAAGCTTCTTGAGGAGACAGAATTTCTGATACCTGGACTTTGGCATTTTGTACTCATATAATTTTGTGGGGGAGAAGCTTTTGCTGTGCATTGTAGGATGATTAGCAGCCTGGGAAGCCTGAGCAGCCTTTCTGGCCTTTTCCACTAAGTGTAATAGTGACATCCTTTTTCTGTGGTTGAAATACTCAAATATGTTTGTGTCTTGTGGAAGCAGAACCGTTGACATTTACAATTCTACAGAGTTCTGAAGAAGAAATTAAAAAAAAACACTTTAAAAATTTTTTCAATGGCTTCTCATGGTGGCTCACACCTGTAATTCCAGCACTTTCGGAGATCGAGGCAGGAGGATCACTTCAGATCAGGAGTTTCAGACCAGACTGGCCAACATTGATGAACCCCATCTTTACTAAAAATACAAAAATAAACATAAAAATAAAAAAAACTTAGCTGGCACCTGTAATCCCAGCTACTTGAGAGGCTGAGGCAGGAGAATTGCTTGAACCCAGAAGACGGAGGTTAGAGTGAGCTGAAATTGCCCCACTGCACTTCAGCCTGGATGACAAGAACAAAACCCCTCTCAAAAAAAGATGAAATTTCGCAGAAATTTTATAAGAGATCTCATTTTTCTCTTACTTTTACTAATTACTAGGAAAATGTAAATCAAAACTGCAATGAGGTAACATCTGAGGCCAGTCAAAATGATGATTACTAAAAACCCGAGAAACAATAGATTGTAGTAAAGCAGTGCAGTAATAGGAATGCTTTTACACTGTTGTTTGCAGTGTAAATCAGTACAGACATTGTGGAAAACTGTGTGATAATTCACCAAGTGTCTAGAACCAGAAACACCGCTGGACTCAGCAATTTCATTACTGGGTATGTAGCACCCACACACAAAAAAAAGTCATTCTATTTTAAGACTACATGCATGTGTACGGTTATTGCTTTACTGTTGCAAAGACATGGAATTTATTCAAATGCCCATCAATGACAGAATGGATAAAGAAAGTGTGACACATATACATCATGAAATAATATGCAGCCATAAAAAGGAAGGAGATCATGTCCTGTGCAGGGAGATGAATGAAGCTGGAAGCCATCATTTTCAGCAAACTAACACAGAAACAAAAAAACAAAGACTGCATTTCCACCTTCTTATGAGGGTCTGAAGTTTGAAGACACATAGACACAGGGAGGGGCATGCCACATATCTGGTTATGTCATGGGGCAGGATAAAAAAAGAGCTGCAGGACAAATAGCTAATTAATGTGGGGCTGAATACCTAAATGATGGATTAATAGGTGCAGCGAACAATCATGGACATGTTTATCTATGAAATAAACCAGCATGTCCTGCATATGTACTCTGGAACAATAATAAATAAAATTATAAAAAGCAAAATTATATAAATTAACTAACAATAAAAAGGCTTTCTTTTTGTACAGGCGATGTTGGAATAACTTTGAAATGTGTGTCACACATTATTTAAGACATTTCGTTACTACAAATCAGAGTTGTCACAAACTTAGTTGATTGAATTTCTTTTATTTTTAGAATGGAATCTCACACTGTCCCTTTGGCTGGAGTGCAGTGGTGCAATCTTGGGACACTGAAACCCCCTGGTTCCCAGGTTCAAGCTATTATTCTGCATCAGCGTCTTGATTACCTGAGATTGCAGGAGTGCACCACTGCAGCTAATAGGGCCTATCACCATATTGGCCAAGCTTGTCTGAAGCTTCTGACCTTTCTTGGCCTTCAAATGCACTGGAATTACAAGTGTTAGCCACCATGCTAGTCCCTTCATTGAATTTCTAATTGAGAAAAAATCCCTCTTGAAAACTTTAGTTTTTTTATATCATATTTTTGATGAGTTTCTTTTGTTTCATAATTCAAGAAAAATAATATAATTTAAATTCATTTTCTTTTTATCATAAATAAATTTATTTCCATTAATATATAGTTAACAGAGAAGATTAATTTAGAATGTTATTTTTCTTTTGGATAAAGTCAGATTTCAGAAATTTCAAAAAATCTAACTTGGGAAACTAATTACATTTATTGATTATGATCACTTTTTTTTTAGGATTCGCTTCTGTAAGAAAATTCAAAATTGTTTCAAGATATGAGATGTTTAATTTTGTCAAATAAACTTTAAAAGTATTTTCTTTGAAAAAAACATATTTTTCTTAAGCTATGTTTTCTACTAATAATATGTGATTACTTTTTCTAACTTACTGGAAATTAATTCATGTTTTCATTTTCCCTGCATCAAAAATTTACTTGCAATATATAAGAAGTAAAGAACTGCCAGCAGAGCAGGTGGTTCTAGCGTAGGTCACACGCTACGATCAATGCTGATTTTCAGCTGCTTGTACCACGAGTTACTGGCTGTGTAAAAAAACCTCAAAAAGATAGTAGACTGACTGAAATACATTACATAGACAAAGCAATAACTAGTGGGTATTTTAAATTAAAAAGCTGCTTTTGCTCACTAATAATAGTTTTGCTTAAAATTCTATTTTTTCCTTTAGAAAAAATTAACTCATGGATTTTTTGTTTTGACCAACAAGTTTAACATTCTGTAGCCATCAGGCATATAACTAAAACAATTTAAGTCAGAGAATATAAATTTTTTAAAAAATATGTATTTCTTAAATGCTCCCCTATATTTAGTTTTGGTAACTTGCCACAGTGAGTTTTATTTAATCATATGTGAAAAAATATTGAAACTTTAGAGTAACAAGTGAAATTTAATGCTACAAAACTTTATATTTAAAGTGTATTCATTAAAAAGATCTTCTAAATCCAAACATTGAAGTTATTTAATGTTATTTTAGTTAAATTCTAAGAGAGGTATAGCTTTAAAAATCATTATGTGAGAAGAGAACCTTTGATTGCACTTTATTACTTCTAAATGTTCACATCAATCTAACAAAGTGACTAACAATGTTCAAATCTTACACAGAACTCAGAATCAGGGAGGGAGGTAATATAAGTAAATTAACAAATAATAACATAAAATTTAGTTTATTTCAAGAGAAAACTGAGGGTTAAGAATATAATTAACAGCAGCATTCCTTACAGATTTTTAATTGGTAAATGTTAATTTTTTTATATTTGTTTATTTTTTCTCTGAGTATATTTTCTAGCACATTGCTGTAGTTTCTAGCTGAACTCACTGCTTAAGAGGACAGATATTTATTTGTCTTGGGGGCTGTATGTAGACAGCAGAGTTTTCTGCTTGAAAACATCTTTTTTGTTAATTTATGTAACAATTGCATTGACATATATATATGAATGAATATATGTACATACACATATATGTATATATACATACATATATACATATATACACACATGTGTATGTATCCACATACATATGTGAAAAAATATATGTGTGAAAATGTGTGAAAAATATATATATGTGTGAAATATATATGTGTGTGAAAAATATATATGTGAAAATAAATAAATTATATATATATATATATATTTTTTTTTTTTTTTTTTTTTTTTTGAGACAGAGTCTCACTCCGTTGCCCAGGCTGGAGTGCAGGGGCGCGATCTCGGCTCGCTGCAAACTCCGCCTCCTGGGTTCACGCCATTCTCCTGCCTCAGCTTCCCGAGTAGCCGGGACTACAGGCGTCCGTCACCACGCCCGGCTAATTTTTTGTATCTTTAGTAGAGACAGGGTTTCACCGTATTAGCCAGGATGGTCTCGATCTCCTGACCTCGTGATCCGCACCCCTCGGCCTCCCAAAGTGCTGGGATTATAGGCATGAGCCACAGCGCCTGGCCATAAATATATATTTTAAAAAGAAATTTTTCTTAAACCAACATTCTTGTTGTTAAACTATTTAGCCAATGTTTTCTTGTGTTTAACATACATTTAAAAATGTACAAGAAGATGGCTGGTCGCGGTGGCTCCCGCCTGTAATCCCAGCATTTTGTGAGGCCGAGGCGAGTGGATCGCGAGGTCAGGAGAGCGAGACCATCCTGGCTAACATGGTGAAAGCCCGTCTCTACTAACAATACAAAAAATCAGCCGGGCGTGGTGGCGTGGGCCAGCTACAAGAGAGACTGAGAAAGGAGAATAGCGTGAACCCGGGAGGGAGAGCTTCCAGTGAGCCGAGATCACGCGACTGCACTCCAGCCTGGGCAACAGAGTGAGACTTCATCTCAAAAAAAAAAAAAAAAAAAAATATATATATATATATATATATAGACACACACACACACATATATGAATGAAGATGTGTATTAAAAGTTATTGACTTGCGGCCGATATTATATTTCTGATGCACAGATTATTTCCGTATATATACTTCTCCATACATATAGCTTCTTTAAAGAAAGAAGTATGCAATATAAAATATTGCTAAATTTGTTTTATACTTAGTCACTCACGTGTCAATATATGAAGATCCATTTGTTTTGTAGCTTGCAGTTCAATGTGCTCCAACATATGCAGTCCACCACTAAGATGGATTGATGTGTAAGTTGTATTCAGTTTTACACAGAGAAGCATTTACAGTTCTTACAGTGATTTTTAAATACACCATCTCAACGACTTCATCTCACAATAAAACTGTGAATATAGACAAAGCAATTTTCACTATTTGCTGAAGAAGAAAGCAGAAATGTATGTGAAGATTATAGTTTTTATGAGTCAGAAAAATAATTTTAAATGAAGTGCTCAATTAAAACAGAAAATTCTAATGTTTTATTTATGTAAAGTTCTGATGACAGTGTTTTGAATACACTTACAGTGCACAAGTTTTTTATAACTAAATTAATGATTAAAGCTGTCTGCGTTTAACACATGAAAATTTAATATTATACCAGCTTACATGATTCTAAGAAAATGGTTACAGAAGCAATGTCTTTAAAAATGTTTGCTTAACAAGTCTGTAGTAAAGGGCCTGTATAGTGGCTCAAGTTGCTGATGTAAAAGTTTAAAGTACTCTTTCAAAATTGCTGTCTTAACCTGATAGAATGAATTTACCCAGACTGATTAAGAGAACAATGGACAGAATCATTATTTTTGTAGCATAAGCATTTTTTTTCTTATCTCATCTTGTGAATCACTCAGTGTGCAGGAGTATCTGTCCCCTGTTGGGCCCTACCCACTAAAAGGATTTGTGGGATTCAAGCTGGTACTACCTGTCACATTAATTCTGTGATCTAGCAACTATACATAATCACCCTTGTCACAAACAATATTTCTGTAATTGAAAACACAGGTAGTGATACAAACAATTATTGTTCAAAGATGAGAAACAAAATGTGAGGTAAATATTAATTATTTTAAAAATATTCTGATAGCAGATACTGTTGTTCATTCTGAGATTACTGTGTTTTCACAAGATTTTGTCAGAACTGCATTTGATGATACGGCTAGAATGTCTGCAATACCATCACTGGCATGTTTATCACTCTCATCTAACAACTTGACAATATAGTTGATAATATTTATCACTTTTTTGTTTATTTTCAAAGCACAGTTGATATAATCACGTATGTATGACACGGTAAATGCAATTCAGTATGTGAAGAATTAGAAATCTTTATTTTTAATAATCATACTCATCTTTTTTTAAGTATTCTGTTTTTTTTTTTAAACTTTTATCCCATCTGTGTTAAATAAGTTGTGCTTATTTTTAGGATTCTATGTATATTTTTCTAAAATTAGGGATTTTTCTGCTACAGAAAAAAATTTGTTTTTCTAATAATGCTACGTAGACCTGTTAGCAACATTATATAACAATTACAATTAGGCTGCTAAAAGTATAAAAGCATTTGGTTAAAAATAAAAAATATCTGTTGAAAATAAAGCAGCATGCCAGGTGCGGTGGCTCCCGCCTGTAATCCCAGCACTTTGGGAGGCCGAGGCGGGCGGATCACGAGGTCAGGAGATTGAGACCATCCTAGGTAACAGAGTGAAACTCAATCTGTACTAAAAAAAAATACAAAAAAAAAAAAAAAAATTAGCTGGGTGTGGTGATGGGCTCCGGTAGTCCCAGCTACTCAGGAGGCTGAGGCAAGAGAATGGTGTGAACCTGGGAGGCGGAGCTTGCATTGAGCCAAGATTACGCCACTGCACTTTAGAATGGGCAACAGAGCAAGACTTCATCTCAAAAAAATAAATAAATTAAGTAAATAAGTACATAAATAAAAATAAAGCAGCAAAAAGTCACTTTTTAATGGCAGATCACATTTTTAAGATATAGCTATTAAATAGGTGAATATAGAAAACTTGAATTTTGGAAATGTTTATACTCAAGTTGTTTACCATTCATTTATATTTTTCTATAGACATTGATAGAAATTAAATAGAGAAATTTGAATAATTAAACTGTAGTAAATGATTCTTAAATTTCTACATTTCTTTCCCTCAGTGGTTAGAAATAGTTTGTCTTTCAAATAACATCTCAGCACTTTTCATTTATGAAGACTATAAAAAACACTGCCTTACTAGATTGAATAGATTACACCACGCAGCAATTACAACCTGGGAAGCATTCCTTTTACTAGAATCTCCATATGGGATGTTCGTTAATACTTGGTTAACAGAAACTATTGGACAAAAAAGTAGAATGTAAGTCCTGATACTGAAGCCCCTTTTGCCCCTCTGGTTCTGAATTTAAAATAGATAGAGATTGCTAATTATACTGACAAGAAGTGAACAAGGCAGATAGAGTATAAAATTCAAATTAAGTCCCCTACCTTTGTGCTTGGTTGGTTGCTTTTGCTTTATGTTGTCTCAGCACTTTACTGTGGCATGCGTGTCTGCCTAGTTGCTTTTTCTGTGGGATGAACTTCCTCAGGCTATGAACTGGATATTGTTTATTTCTGTATCAGAAACCTCAGAAGAGCAAAGCATATAGAAACATGTTAGATATCTGTAAAACAACTATATTTTGCTCTGTAGCTACAAGAAAATTATGACCTTTGGAGCTTCTGTGTATACTCTTGTTTATTCCACAACTACTCTTAAGAGCTGTATTTATTGAGTGGTAGTAACTCTAAATACATCACATAAATTACATCATATAATCTGCAAAAATGCATTATTCTCACAAGAAGACACTGAATTCTTGGAGAACGAAGTAACTTATTCCTCATAAGTTATTTATGAGAGACCACTGATTAGACTTTAATCTTTAATGAATTGCAGGTTATAATTGCTATTATTCTATTGTTTCTAATGATAACTTTTCTGTGAACTCTTTATGATGGTCCATCTGTGAAATAAGTACTAATACTAAATATTAAAACCAATAAGTTTTTTGAAAATAGTATTAAAAAATGCATATAATTTTATTAACCAAATGTTGGTGTTTATTTCAACTTCTTTCATTATACATTTAATGTTAGATTAGTGCATCACTAATGTCTTCTGGTCTCTAGAGATCTCCGAGATGATGTGTTTAGATATCATTATAAATTTGAAGAGAAACCAGCATTAAACAAGACAGAAGATAGGAAAGCGTACAATATTGATCTCCTAAGACAATTTCAGGTCATCTTTTACATTTAGCTGCTTTCTGACTACAATAATGTACCCAGAAGTTTTTGGAAACAGTTTATGTAAATTATGGGTAAGATATGATAAAGTCATCTGTACACTAACTAAAATGTTTAAATATATCTTAAAATACATAATTTATTAGGCGTTTAATATTTAAACAATAGTAATATTCTAGCTGTTTCTCTTGGTCATTTTTATTAGTATTATCCCAACTGAAAGAGGTTAAAATTTTCACAGCAAAGACAGACAGTATATTTTTTATATCTCATGATATAATTAACTTCTTATTATTAGATTTATAAATTATATATAAGCAAAATACTGAAATGTAGTCATCTCATTGATTTAACAGTTCTCTAATAAAGCAAATGCCAAGTATATTGTTTTATTTGTATAGATATTTTAATGCATCTCTAAAGTTTAAATTTAAAAAGATGGCCATGGTGCTGTTATCACACATAATAAAAACGATTTTATAAGCTTGGGCAACGTGGCAAAACACTGTCTCTAAAAAAAATACAAGAATTATTCTGCTGTGGTGGTATGAGCCTGTAGTCTCAAGTACTTGGGAAGATAACATGCCATTTTATTCACTACCTGTTGGCATTTGTTTAAACTTCCTTTATCATACTTTTAAAGTTAGACTAGTGTATCAGTTATGCCTTTTAGCTTCTAGAGTAATATTAACGCTTGATATTATGTATAATAATCATCTCAAAGATCAACATTACTCATCATCAAATAAATGTTTTTATTATCAAATGAACATTTTTATCACTGACAGGAAACTACCTCTTCCTAGCCATGTAAGAAAAAGAAATAATATACTTATATATAAATATACAACATATAACTTTATATAATATACATTTTTTTGCAAGCTTGTAAAGTAATCATATAGTTTTTGAGCCACTTACAAAAGTGACCAGTAACATTTGGTCCTTTTTTACATTTGAAAAAGCCCATTTAGGCAGGCACTGTCACTCACACTGGTAGTCTTGGCACTTTGTGAAGCCAAGGTAGGCAGATTACTGGATTATAGGAGTTCATACCCAGTCTGGGCAACATGGTGATATCCTGTCTCTATTAAGATGCAAAAAATTAGCTGAGTGTAATGGTCTGCATCAGTAGTCCCAGCTACCTGGGACAATGAGGGGAAAACATTGCCTGAGCTGTGATTGTGCTGCTGCACTTCATCCTGAGCAATGAAGAGAAGTCGCCCCCCGACCCCCAACGCACAGCTTCATAACATCTTGATTTTGTTTTCTTTGTTTCACTCATTTTATCAAGGCCTAATTTGTGGCACATATGATAATAAACACTGTCACACAACTTTTAATCATATACTGTAGTATATAGCTCTTTCTAGTTTGTAAAAAAAAAAAGCTGCACTCCCTCATAAGAGTTTAGTGTTCTTTCAAAAAAGTGCTTACTAAATAGATCAGAGGTAGGAAGCAAAAGAGATATTCTGATTTCTGGGCTGCCTTCTGTTTCACTCACAGCCCCTCCTCTTCCATTTATTAGCGTATCACTTAGACTTCTTTTAAAAGTCTGTATCACACCTATAATGCACTGACTCTCCATTATATCTCTCAGTTTAATTTTCTAGATTCCATAGCCAAACTGTAAGCCTAGGTTATAAGTATAATTTGCATATATAGTTCTTATTTACCTATTTTAGTTCTACAGCCTCACATGTGACTTCCTCTTCTTTTCAAATATGTTAACAATTTATTTTTATCAGCGTTCTCTACTTGAAACATTTTTTTCTGCAATCTAGGCCACGTTCTGTTCTTGTTCTTTCAAATTATTATAACACTTTGAGTTTAGTCTTCAAAATTTTACTCAAGTATTTATGTGTGTGTGCATCTATGTGTGATCATTTGGAACAGTTTGGCACCAGGGACTGTTTTTGTGAAGGACAATTTTTTAAGACTGTGGTTGCAGGGACAGTTTGGGGAAGACTCAAGTGCCCTACATCTATTATGCACTTTATTTATATTATTATTACATTATAATATTTAATTAAATAATTATACAACTCACCATCATGTAGAATCAGTAGGAGCCCTGAACTTACTATCCTGCAGCTAGATGGTTCTATCTGGAGGTGATAGGAGACGGTTACGGGTCATAAGGCTTTAGATTCTTTTTTTTTTTTTTTTTTTTTTTTTTGAGACGGAGTCTCGCTCTGTCGCCCAGGCCGGACTGCGGACTGCAGTGGCGCAATCTCGGCTCACTGCAAGCTCCACTTCCCGGGTTCACGCCATTCTCCTGCCTCAGCCTCCCGAGTAGCTGGGACTACAGGCACCCGCCACCGCGCCCGGCTAATTTTTTGTATTTTTAGTAGAGACGGGGTTTCACCTTGTTAGCCAGGATGGTCTCGATCTCCTGACCTCATGATCCACCCGCCTCGGCCTCCCAAAGTGCTGGGATTACAGGCAAGAGCCACCGCGCCTGGCCTAGATTCTTATAAAGAGTGCAAAACCTAGGTTTCTCACGTGCACAGTAAATAGTAGTGTTTAGCTTCTATAAAAATCTAATTGATGCCAAGGATCTTATAGAAAGTGGAGTTCAGGCGGTAAGGTGAACCATAGGTAATGCTTTAAATAGAGATAAAGCTTCCGTGCTTGCCCACCAATCACCTGCTGATGTGTGACCCAGTTCCTAACAGGACAGAGATGGGTACTGCTTGGTGACCCCTACCTTAAGCTAAGGAGTTTGAGATCACAGTGAACTATAATTGTGCCACTGCACTCTAGCCTGGGTAACAAAAAACAAATAAACAAACAAATAAACTGTCTATACAGGGAAAATAATGTAAAGAATACATTTTTAAAATTTGTTTCTTTAATAATATCTTTTGGTAAAATGTGAGGAATCATTTACAACTTTGAATGTGGACATTAACAAACACAAAAATCTTCTTGATTATTTGGAACAGTATATGAAATGAAGGTGCAAATGTATATTATTGTAAAATGTGATATAAAGTATATTTTGTTCAGTTTTGAAAAAAATAATGATGTCATTGAACAGAATCAGAAGACATTAGAGTTGTTTGTGCTTATCCTCAAAATTAACATCTGCTTTTTCTTTACTGTTTTTCTCTTTACTGTTTTAGTGGTATCAGAGAGGTAATCAAGATGATAACGGGTTTAAAGGGAAAGAATATTGACAAAATACAGTGACTGACTAGAAAAAAATCAGCCTTATTAGGTGAATAATTTTAGATATAAAAGGATCTCAAAGATTGTTTTCATCTCTAAAATAAATTGCAATTTAGTGATTGAATCATGAGGAGTTAATAGAATAAAACTTTTTTTTCTACTGTAGATACCTCAGAAGTAAAAAAGTTTAAGTTAATGTGGTTACAACAGATTTTAACACCCGCTTGTAGTTTCACAAACAGATTTTAATCTCTAGGCCTAACCAGCTGATTTTATCTCTGCACAAATTGATTGGGAGATGAAATGGTAAAATGTCTTTCAAGATGTTATATGTTAAGTAACACATATGTCTTTCTTCACTTTCATAACTTCTCACCTCCAAGCTTTCTGCATTGTTTTGAATTTAGCTGCCATTTAGATTGTAGTTTGTTTATAAAGTCATCCTTCCTTCTATTCACACCTCTGAGACTTGGAACAGTTTATTTTTACCCTTTTTGCCACTTTTTTTTCCTTTCCCTTTCCCTTTCCCCCTCCCCTCCCCTTCCCTTCCCTTTTCCCTTTCCTTGTCCCTTTATTTGAGACAGAGTCTCACTCTGTCGCCCAGGCTAGAATGCTGTGGCACAATCTCGGCCCACTGCAAGCTCGGCCTCCTGGGTTCATGTCATTCTCCTGCCTTGGCCTCCCGAGTTGCTGGGACTACAGGCACCCGCCCCAACACCTGGCTAATTTTTTGTATTTTTAGTAGAGAGGCGGTTACTCCATTTTTAGCCAGGATGGTCTCGATCTCCCAACCTCCTGAGCCGCCTGCCTTGGCCTCCCAAAGTGCTGGGATTACAGGTGTGAGCCATGCACCCTGCCCTTTCTGCCACTCTAAATCCACACATTTAAAGTAATTATATATAGTTATTACCTTTTTATAATTAGTGAGACCAGTCTGGCCAACAGGGTGAATCCCCATCTCTACCAAAAATATGAAAATTAGCCAGGCATGGTGGCAGATGCCTGTAATACCAGCTACTGGGGAGGCTGAGACAGGTGAATCACTTGAATCCTGGAGGCACAGGTTGCAGTGAGCTGAGATGCTGCCATTGCACTCCAGCTTAGGTGAAAAGAGTGAAACTCCATCTCAAAAAAAAAAAGACAGTCAGGATTAAATTTATTAATATGTGTGCAGCTCTTAGTGTATTACCTGGTCTTTAAGTGCTATAAATATTAGCTGCTATTATTATTGCTTATCATATATCTTCAGTTTACTCACACCAAATTCTAATTAATAGCATAAAAGAAAGCATTAGAGGAATAAAACAGATAGTTGTGACTATATGGAACCACATAGCCATCAGGGTCTGTGTCAGTAATGTTTTCCAATTTGCAACACGTAAGTGACCTTTTACATCCACAGGTTCTGAAAACACAGATTTCTCTAAACATGTATTAAAATGTCCAAAAACAAAAAATAACAATACAATAAAAACTAGCAAATTTAAAAGCAATTACCGTATAATTGTCTACATAATATTTACATTTTATTATTTATTTAGAGATGAGTAAACTATACAGAAGGATGTGTGTACGTTATATTTACGTACTGCACCACTGTTCACTAGAAACTTGAGCAGACACAAATTATAGTAATCATGGGGATCCTGTAGCCAATCCCCTACAGATGCCAAAGGATTACTATATATAAACATTTTAAGCTTTGGTAAGTAAGCATTGCTTAAGTTAGTTATGACATAATTACCCTGCTGGTGTTAATTATCATTTACTCATCTATATAAACAAGTTGAGAAAGACTATAATTTTTTTTGAGATGGAGTCTTGCTCTGTTGCCCAGGCTGCAGTGCAGTGGCACAATTTCAGCTCACTGAAACCTCTGGCTCTCAGGTTCTAGCAATTCTGCCTCAGCCTCCTGAGTAACTAGGATTACACGTAGGCACAACCATACCCTGCAATTTTTTTTTTTTTTCAGTTGTGACGGGGTTTCACCACATTGGCCAGGATGGCCTCAATCTCTTGACCTTGTGATCTGCTGGCCTTAGCCTTCCAAATTACTGAGATTACCGGAGTGAGCCACCGCGCCCGGTTCAAAAGATTATAAACTTTAAAATTCTCATTACATTGTTTTAATGTTTGCGCAGGTAACAAGATAATATTTGTTTATATTCTCTGTTTATGTTATGTTAACACAGGAAAGCACTTGCTATTTAAAATATTGCCTTTTGGTTTTGCGGCCAACTCAAACAATTTTAATATGTCTGGGAAAATGTACAATTACATTCAGTGATTATTTTTAATTTCTCTGGGACCTGGATATGGGACCTTACACAGTAGCAATGCTGATCAAGCAAGGAGTGGGAATTATTATTATTTTATTTATTTATTTATTTATTTTGAGACAAGAGTCTTGCTCTGTAGCACAGGCTGGAGTACAGTGGTGCAATCTTGGCTCACTGCAAGCTCCGACTCCCAGATTCACGCCATTCTCCTGCGTCAGCCTCCAGAGTAGCTGGGACTACAGACACCTGCCACCAAGCCCGGCTAATTTTTTGTATTTTTAGTAGAGATGGCGTTTCACCATGTTAGCTAGGATGGTCTGGATCTCCTAACCTGGTGATCTGCCCGCCTGGGTCTCCCAAAGTACTGGGATTATAGGCATGAGCCACTGTGCCTGGCTTATTATTCTTGTATTATTCAAAGATGGTAGCCAGTGACTCAGATCACTGGTATAAATTTGATGTTGGAGATGTAACAGAATTGAAAATAGAAGATGATAAAGAAATTTAAAAAGTCAGTGTTTTGGTGGAGAGTACACAAATGTATTTGATCACACGCTGAAGTGCATGTCATAGAGACGAGAGAAGAGATGGTGAAATGCTTGTGTACTTATTTTTAATAAGCAAATGGACATGATAGATGAAGGTGATGAGATGGTAAGATATACATTATGACTAACTCTTACAATACCACATCACCTCATTATGTCACCAGCCATTGAGAGAAGTGTATAGAAACAAAATGTGAAATTTATCCATAATGGAATAAAAGTACTTACATTAATGGTGTTTATTTAAATCCCGCTCAAGGTAAGCTTTTAGATTAGCTTCTTACTAATAAAAAATAATTTGTGTTTGGCTTGCGTGATTCCTTACAAAGCATCAACATGTGTTTAATTTTTTTCTTTAGGCTTCATTTACCTTTTCTTATGGAATCATTAGCCTTAATTTATGTGAAAGAGTTCCTTTTTGGTTTAGTTATTTAAAGTGTAAAATGTAATATATCTGTACATTAGAATAGTGGTTCTTAATATATGGATATATAAAAGAGCATTATTTATAATAATAATTATTACTTTCTACTCAAGCACTAGTTTGCAGTATGGGTTAGTGAAGTGGTAAGTAAATCACTAAGAATTAGTGTTAACTAACAAAAATTTTATTAAGAAAGTGCTTGAAAATACAAATGTTTTTGACTGTATATGTATTTTTATTTGAAGAGTAGAATTACTTTTCTGCCTAAAGCACAATAAATTACTATGATTAGTACACAAATTGCTGGTATATTCCACATTACCACTGGATTTCACACCAAAAAAAAAGTTTGTTGTCCTTCTGGTGACTTGTACATGGCTTTGCATTTCATTCGTAGAGTTCTTACAATTGGTTTGGTTCTCTATTATACTGCTTTACATTTTCCTAACCATAAAAATATTATTTCAAATTTTAAATACACAATAAACATTTTTGTAGTAATTGTGAGAGAATTCTTAGTAAACTTAAAAATCTCTAATCTAAATGTGCATTTATTATTTAAAAATTGGCTCACACACCAATAAATTTGTATCACACCATGTTCTACTTTATCATTACATAAGAAGCTTTATCTCTACCAGATAAAATTTTAACTTATAGTTAAAAATGTAGATCATTTTTAGACCAGGTTTTGTGGCTTATATTTGTAATTCCAAAAATAGTAAAGGCCAAGGCAAAAATAACCTTGAGGGCAGGTGTTTGTAACCTGGTTTGGCAAAATAATGAAGCACCATCTCTACAAAAAGTTTTTAAAAATTAGCTAGATATGGTGGCTCACACCAGTGATCTTAGCACTATATGATGCCGAGGTGGATGGATTACCTTAAGCCTAGAGTTTGAGGCCAGCCTCAGCAACATTGCAAAATTCTGTCTCTAACAAAAAAATTAAAATAAATAAACAAATTAAATAATTAGCTGAGCCTACTGTCCTCTTCCTATAGACCCAGCTCATTGGGAGGCTAAGGCAGCAGGAAAACATGAGCCCATAATTTAGAAGCTGCAGTTAGCTATAATTGCACCACTGCATTCATTCCAGCTGTAGCAATAGAGACTTTGTCTCTTAAAACAATTAAAATTACTGTAGTCTTAGCTTAGCAATAATTATAAAAGTATAGAGTACATTATAACTTGATTTAACAACTCTTTCAGCATTATGTTAAAATATGTTAATAAAATGTTACTGAACTAGAAAAAGGTTGATAAGAATTTTCAGAGACCTGCACACAATTGTATTTGATTTACATCTTTGACTTGACTGTGAAATTAAAGTCACAGAGCTTTATCAGTCAATCTGATATTTGTACTGTCTTAGTCCATTTTCAAGCTAAAGACATATGCTAGACTGGACAATTTATAAAAGAAAGAGAGGTTTAAGGAACTGACAGTTCCACATGACTGGGGAGGCCTCAGAATCACGATAGAAGGAAAAGAGGAGCAATTAACGTCTTACACAGTTGGCAGCAGGCAAAGAGAGAGCTTCTGCAAGGAAACTGATGTTTCAAGCATCAGATATAATGAGACTTACTCACTGTCACAAGAACAGCACAAAAAAATCTGCCTCCATGATTCAATTACCCCCCATCTCATTCCTCCCACCACATGTAAAAATTCAACTGGGGTGGGGACACAGTCAAACCATATCATTCCAACCCTGGCCCCTCCCAAATCTCATTTCCTCACATTTCAAAACCAGTCATGCTTTTCCAATAGTCCTGCAATGCCTCAACTCACTTCAGCACTAACTCAATAGTCAAAGTCCAATATCTCATCTGAGACAAGGCAGGTTCTTTCTCCCTATGAGCCTGTAAAATTGATAGCAAGTTAGTTACTTCTTAGATATAGTAGGGTACAGGCATTGGAAAAGTACAGCCATTCCAAATGTGAGAAGCTGACTGGAATAAAGGGGCTACAGCCCCCATGAAAGTCTAAAATCCAAGGAGGCAGTACAATTTAAAGCTTCAGAATGATCTTCAAGAGCTGGGTTCCCATGGTCTTGTGCACCTGCACCCATGAGGCTTTGCAGGGTACAGCCTTCCTCCCAACTGTTTCCACCAGCTGGCATTGAGTATCTGTGGCTTCTCCAGGCACAAAATTCAAGCTGTCAGTGGATCTACTATTCTGGGGTCTGGAAGATGGAGGCCCTCCTGTGTCCAGAATTGGTGGGTTCTTGGTCTCACTGACTTCAAGAATGAAGCTGCGGACCCTCGCGATGAGTGTTACAGTTCTTAAAGTCGGCGTGTCCGGAGTTTGTTCCTTCTGATGTTCAGATGTGTTCGGAGTTTCTTATTTCTGGTGGGTTCATGGTCTTGCTGGCTCAGGAGTGAAGCTGCAGACCTTTGCGGTGAGTGTTACAGCTCTTAAGGCGACATGTCTGGAGTTGTTTGTTCCTCCCTGTGGGCTCGTGGGCTCGCTGGCTTCAGGAGTGAAGCTGCAGGCCTTTGCGGTGAGTGTTACAGCTCATATAGGCAGTGTGGACCAAAAGAGTGAGCAGTAGGAAGACTTATTGCAAAGAGCGAAAGAACAAACCTTCCACAGCGTGGAACCCGAGCCGGTTGCCACTGCTGGCGAGGGCAGCCTGCTTTTATTCTCTTATCTGGCCCCACCCACATCCTGCTGATTGGTAGAGCCGAGGGGTGTGTTTTGACAGGGTGCTGATTGGTGAGTTTACAATCCCAGAGCTAGACGCAAAGGTTCTCCACATCCCCACCAGATTAGCTAGATACTGAGTGTCCACACAAAGGTGCTCCAAGTCCCCACCAGAGTAGCTAGATACAGAGTGTCGATTGGTGCATTCACAAACCCTGAGCTAGACACAGGGTGCTGATTGGTGTATTTACAATCCCTGAGCTACACATAAAGGTTCTCCACGTCCCCACCAGACTCAGGAGCCCAGCTGGCTTCACCCAGTGGATCCCGCACCGGGGCTGCAGGTGGAGCTGCCTGCCAGTCCCGCGCCGTGCGCCCGCACTCCTCATCCCTTGGGTGGTCAATAGGACTGGGTGCCCTGGAGCAGGGGGCGGCGCTCATCGGTGAGGCTGGGGCCGCACAGGAGCCCAGGGAGGGGGTAGGAGGCTCAGGCATGGCGGGCTGCAGGTCCCGAGCCCTGCCCCGCGGCAAGGCAGCTAAGGCCGGGCGAGAAATCGAACGCAGCGCCCGTGGGCTGGCACTGCTGGGGGACCCAATACACCCTCCGCAGCCGCTGGCTCGGGTGCTAATCCCCTCATTGCCCAGGGCGGCAGGGCGGGCCGGCTGCTCTGAGTGTGGGGCCCGCCAAGCCCACGCCCACCCGGAACTCCAGCTGGCCCGCAAGCGCCGCGCGCAGCCCCGGTTCCCGCTGGCGCCTCTCCCTGCACACCCCCCTGCAAGCTGAGGGAGCCGGCTCCGGCCTTGGCCAGCCCAGAATGGGGCTCCCACAGTGCAGCGGGGGCTGAAGGGCTCCTCAAGTGCCGCCAAAGTGGGAGCCCAGGCAGAGGAGGCGCCGAGAGCGAGCGAGGGCTGTGAGGACTGCCGGCACGCTGTCACCTCTCACTCCTTTAACAGCTCTGCAATCATCGCCTGTGTTGCTACCTGTCTTTTCAATGGTTAAAATACTGCTGCTGATGACGGGGATCAGGTATAGCTGCTGGGTCACAGAATTTATGTGATAGGTAGCACCACCCTCTTTGAGTTCCACAAATCTTTTTGGTGGGCGTGGTCCAGCAGGAGCTGATATTCCCACTCAGGAAGTGCTTTACAAGCTGAGATAAGAAAAAATGCTTTCTCGGAAAGAGTTATATAAGATGGTATAATATTAAAATTTTCATGTGTTAATCATGGACTTAGCCTTAATCATTACAAGTTTACTTACTATAAAACTTTTGGGCCTAAAATAAGTGTATTTAATTAATTGTCATCAGAACTTTATATAAATAAAACATTAGGGTTTTCTCACTTTTAATTGAGCACTTCATATAAAGTTATTGTTGTGACTCATAAAACTGTAACCTTCACATAAATAACTGCTTTATTCCTCAGTAAATAGCAATAATTTATTTGTCTTGTGTATTTAAAATCACTGTAAGGACTATAAATTCTTCCCTATTTTGTGTAAAACATAATGCAGCTTACACATCAATTCATCTTAGAGATGGATTGCATAAATTAGAGCACATTGAACTGCAAGTTATGTAGCTACAAATCAGAATTAAACAGATCTTCATATACTGACAGGTGTTTGACTAAATACAAAACAAAGTTAATAATGCTGTATATTGTATATTTTCATTTGTGTAAAAAATAACCAAATAGCTACATGCATGGATTAGTGCACATACAGACATAATCTCTGGACCAGGAATATAATATTGGTGGCAAGTTAATAATTTGCGGTACATATCCTCTTATGTATTTGGAATTATATTTTAACCCCATAAAACTGTTAGCTAAATAGTTTAACAACAGCAGTGTTTGTTTCAAAAAACTCTTTTGAAAATATGTATTTACTATGTCAATACAATAGTTAAATAAATTAAGAAAAAGGTGTTTTTCAAAAGTAAACTCTTTCCTCTATAAAGAACCCACAAGACAAATAAAGATCTGAACTTTTAAGCAGTGAGTTTAGCTAGAAAATCCTACAATGTGCTAGAAAATGTACTCCCACAGATAAAAATATAAATATAATTTCACATTTACTAATTAAAGGTCTATACTGAATGCTGCTGTTAATTATATATTTAACATTCAGTTTTCTCTTGAAATAAACTAAATTTTATGTTATTATTTGTTAATTTACTTACATTACCTCAAACTTGTTTTAGTTCTGTGTAAGATTTCAACATTACTACCCTCTTTGTGGGACTGATGTGGTATTTAGAAGCAATAAAATGCACTCAAATGTTCTCTTCTCATGTCACGATTTTTAAACCATAACTTTCTTAGAATTTAACTAAAATAACATTAAGCAACTTCAATTTGTGGGTTATGAAAAACTTTTTAATGCATACATTTTAAATATAAACTTTTTATAGTATTACATTTGACTCCTCATTACTCTAAATTTTCAGTATTTTTTCACATGTGATTAAAACAACTCACTGTGTTAAGTTACCAAAGCCAACTATAGGGGAGCATTAAATAAATATATATTAAATAAATTGTATTCTCCAACTAAAATTGTTTTAATTATATACCTGATGGCTACAGAATGTTAAAATAGTTGACAAAAAAAAACCCATGAGTTGATTTTATCTAAATGAGAAAATAGAATTTCACACAAAACTATGATTAATGAACAAAAGCAGCTTTATAATTTAAAATACTCACTAGCTATTGTTTTGTCTGTGTAATATATTTCAGCCAAACAGTCTACTATCTTTTTAAGATTTTTTTACACAGCCAATAGCTGGTGCTACAAGTAGCTCAAAAGCAGAATTGATGGTGTTTGGTGAGCGACAGACTGGAACAGCCAGCTCGGCTGGCAGTTGTTTACTTCTTAAATATTGCAGGTGAGCTTTTTATGCAGGGAAGATGAAACAATCAATTAATTTCTAGTAAGTCAGAAAAAGTAATCACAGTATTATTTGTAGAAAATATAGGTAAAAAAATTCTTTTCAAAGAAAATATTTTATTTGACATAATTAAACACCTCATTGTATCTTGAAACAAATTTGAATTTTCTTACATAAGCAATTCCTAAAAAAACCCCAAGTAAAATCAATAAATGTAATTATTTTCCCAGAGTAGATTTTTAAAGAAATTTCTAAAACCTGAGAAATTTACCCAAAAGAAAAATAACATTCTAAATTAACCTACTCTTTTAATCACATAAAAATGGAAATAAATTCATTTAAAATATAAAAAGGCATTAAAGCTTTATTATTTTTCATGAATTATGAGATATATAAACTCATAAAAATATGATATAAAAATAAATTTTTGCAAGATGTATGTTTTTCTCAATTATAAATTCAACCAAGTGCCAGGCACGGTGGTTCACATCTGTAGTCCCAGCATGTTCTGAGGATAAGGTACGCAAATTACTTGAGGTCAGGAGTTAGAGAAGAGTCTGTAGAATATGGGGAAACCCCATCAGCTGTGGTTGTGTCTGCCAGTAATCTCAGCTAATCAAGAGGCTGAGGAAGATTAATCACTTGAAACTGTGAGTCAGGTGGTTGCAGGGTGCCAAGATTGCACCCTGCACTCCAGCCAAAGGGACAGTGTGAGATATCATTCTAAAAATAAAAGGGAAGAAATTCAATCAACTAAGAATTGAAATACACTATTTACTTTTCAATGCAGTTTGTCAAAAACTGATTTGTAATTATTTTAAAAAAATATCTTAACGCTGGGTATGGTGCCATGCACAAGTAATTCAAGCTATTCAGGAAACTGAGGCAGGAGAATCACTTGAACCCAGGGGTCAGAGATTGCAGTGAGTCAAGATCGCACCACTTCACTCCAGTCTGGCAACAGAGAGAGATGCCATATTTAAATAAAAAAAAAAAGTCTTCAGTAAAGTGTGGCACATATTTAAAAGTTACTATAAACTCTACAAAAATAAATCCCTTCTTATTTTTAATTTTATCTTATATTAAATTCCATGGTACATATGCAGGACATGCAGGTTTATTTCACAATTAACCACGTGCCATGGTTGTTGACTGCAGATATCAACCCATTACATAGGTAGTATGCCCCACGTGATTTAGCTATTTATCCTGAATCTCTTTTATCCCCCCGGCAGACCCAAGTGCGTGTTTTTTCCCTCCCTGTGTGTATGTGTCTTCAATGTTCAGTTCCCATGCATGAGTGTGAACATGCAGTGTTTTTTGTGTGTGTGTGTGTTTTGTTTCTGTGTTAGCTTACTGAGGATATCGGCTTCCTGCTTCATCCATGCCCCTTCACAGGACATAATTTCATTCCTTTTTATGGCTGCATATAGTTTCATTGTGTATATGTACCACGTTTTCTTTATTCAGGCTGTTGTTGATAGGCATTTGGGTTAATTCCATGTTTTTGTTACTGCGAGTAGCTCTGTAGTAAACATACATATGCATGTATCCTTGTAATAGAATAGCTTGTTTTTGGAAGAGTATATATCCAGTAATGTAATTGCTGAGTACAGTGGTATTTCTGGTTCTAGATACTTGATGAATCATCACACACTTTTTCACAGTGTGTACTGATTTGCATTCTGAACAACAATATAAAAGTATTCCTATCATTGCACTGCCTCACTATCATCTGTTGTTTCTTGGCTTTTTAGTAATCACCATTTTGACTGGCCTCAGATGGTATCTCATTGCAGCTTAGTTGTGCATTTCCCTAATAATTCATGATGGTGAGCTTTTTGAGATAAAGACCAATAACTCTTTTCTTACCCAAATGAGGCCTCTTATAGCAGCTCTTCAACATCCATTTAACCTGTGTTTTTAACACTATCCTGCAAAAGGAAAAGTATTATAGGCTTAACTTACATGATAATGATAGAAAATTACAGGATGTTAGAAGAGCAAAGAGTTAGAGCAAAGTGAGATCTCATGTAAATTTTGTGCAAAATTTTTAAAAGCAAGTTCCTATTTCTTCTTTAGAACTCTCTAGAATAGTAAATTTCATCAGTTTTGTTTCCACAAGATACAAACATATTTGCGTATCTCTACCATGGAAAAATAGTTTACTATTGCACTTAGTGGAAGAGGCCAGAAATGCTACTCATAATCCTATGGAGTGCAGCAAAAGTTCCTCACAAAAAGAAATTACATGAGTACAAAATGTCAAAATCCAAGAATAAGAAATTCTGTTACATCAGTAAACTTTATAATCTACCAGAAAAATGCCAATCTGAACCTCAATGCCATATATTTTAGAAATATATTCTCATAGAATAAAAAGAGTAAGAGAGTGTAAGTAAGAGAGATTAGGTGACCCAATGCAAATGCCAGTGAGCCGAGGTCACACCACTGCACACCAGCCTGGGTGACACAGTGAGACTGTGACACACACACACATACACACAGATACACACACACAATTTATCTATCTATCTATCTATCTATCTATCTATCTATCTATCTATGTATCTATATCTCAAATTGTAGGACACTCAATTATCAATATTTCAAGATCCAGTAGATGTAAGGCACTTAAACACAAGTAGCTATGCTTCTTTTGTCATGGAATTTTGGTGGAGTCACCTTGCCGGATGGAAACCACTGTGGCCAGTAGTGCCTTTGCCTCAGTTTTGCTAAGGCCTGCTAAGCTTGTTATACCCACTCTGCCTGAGAGGCTGCCTTCCCCTTGCATTATAGGCATGGATTTAACACCTGCCAAGGGCAAATGTGGCATAGAGTGGCAAGGGGTGTATGAGCGAGTGTGGGCATCAGCCACTACACACAGCCAGGCATGCCAGCTGTGGCAGGGCAGGAAATTTCAGGTGCCAAGAGAAGTGCCATCTCACTGAGAAGCTGCAGCTGGATCAGGCATTCTGCAAGCAGCTTTCATAGCTTATACTAAGGAATGGAGTTGTGCCCAGAAGTTTGAAGATGCCAGAAACTTCAAAGCCCTAAAGAAAATGTCACAGCCCTGGCTTTGAGAGTGCCTAGGTCTGTGCACCCTGAAGGGTCATAGCTCTCGTCTTATTTTTGTCTTCCACAATGTGATGAGCAAGGTATATCTTTTTTTTCCCCCAGTTTGTGTTACAACTCTTTCAGCTTCACCATTCAGCTTATCTCAAATAATTGTTCTGCATTCAGGAATAAAGACATAGATGGACAATTAAAGAGTGTGCAATGTAAAGAGAAGCTGTAGTGAATGAGAGAACACAGAAAAGCCCCTCATTGGGTAGCTCCTCCACACAAGCCAGATGTCCCGATGAGTGTCCATCTCTCAGCAAAGAGAGTGGGTAGCTCCTCTCTAAAGGCAGGGTGTCAGTGATTACTATCCGGCTCTCAGCAGAGAGGAGAACCTGGAGCGGGTATCTTCTCCATCCAGCTGGTCATCTTGCCCAGTTTTAAGCTCCGTGCAGAGAGAAGGCCCTGCAGTGGGGAAATCCTCATATCTGGTGGTCCCAACATCTAAGTTTCAGCATAGAAGAGATCTTGGAGTAGGTAGCTTATCCGTCTATCTGGCTGCTCTGTTATCTCCCTAGCTCTCAGCAAAGTCTGTGGTGGGTAGCTCCAGTGTGCTGTTGAAAGTTCTGATGCCTCCTTAGCTCTCAGCAGAGAGAAGGCCCTTCAGTGGGTCAGTCCTCTCCGCAGCTGGTTGGTAGTCTGTCAAGTCTTCCAGTGTGGCTGAATCCAGTAATTTTACATCATTCAAAGAAAATAAAGTGCTTGCTGATTGGATTATTGGGCAGCAATTTCCTTAATAAAAGTAAATTTACTTTTATTAATTTTAAAGTAAATTTAAATAAAAATTACTTTAAATTTAATTAAAGTAAATTTACTTAATAAAGCAATTTACTTAATAAAAGTAAAATCATTTCCCATTCTTGTCCATCAGCCTATGCCCCAGACTTCAAGATGTCACTGGCTTGAAGGTGGAGCTTCGGTGGGGAGCAACGAATTTATGCCCAGGAGCCTGTGATGGTTAATACTGAGTGTCAACTTAACCGGACTGAGACTTACAGAGTATTAATCCTGGGTGTGTCTGTGTGAGTGTTGCCCAAAACAGATTAACATTTGAGTCAGTGGGCTGACTCAACCTTAATCTGGAGGGCACAATCTATTCAGCTTCCAGTAAACATAAAACAGGCAAAAAACGTAAAAAGGCGAGATGGACTAACATCTTGCCTACATCTTTCTCCTGTGCTGGATGCTGTCTGCCCTCACATGGCTGACTCCAACTTGCTCAATTTTGGTACTCAGATTGGCTCTCGTTGATTCTCAGCTTGCTGACAGCCTATTGTGGGACATTGTGATCACGTAAGTTCATACTTAATAAACTCTTCTATAGATATTAGTTCTGTCCCTGTGAAAGAATCCTGACTAATACAGATGTTGGTAACAGAAATGGTTCTAGAGGAACAGAACATTAAAAATAAAGTTCTTTCATTGGTTTTGGAGGTTTTGAAGTTGGCTGTTTAATATAATTTGATGCAAAAAGTCTGTGGACTCTACTTCTAATAATATGGAGAACACTGATAGTCCTTGGTGGAAACCATTTAGAGACTTATGCAAAATAAATTAATTTGGCACTCCTGATTCACTGATTGTGAGAATCAAGGAGTTTAGTGATTCTATACATAATACCTTTGACCATATGTGGAGAACCAAAGAACACAGTGAAGCTGCTTGGTAGCTCCTAAGTTCAGTGAACAATATGATGAAAGAAAATGATGAACTCAGGGATACTGTCTCCCAACTTCAGAAGCAGATACTGAGGCTCAAATCTGCTAATTTTGCCCTGAGTGAGAATCTTATCATTTGTAGAGCAAGAGCTAAAATTGTGGAAAAGCAGACACAGGCTCTTATCATGTGAGTCACTGACCTGCAATAAAAGATGCATGCACAGCCTCACCAGGTGTCTACTGTTATAGTGAGGGCATTGATTGAAAAAGAAACAGACCCTGTAAATCATAATAGAGATGTGTAGGAGAACCCTGATGAATCTGGTGACAGTGAGTGGTTAACTCTGATGAACTTTTTTTTTTTTTTGGTGCCAGAAAGAATGGCTTCCTCATCTCAAGAAGTGGCAACATCCCCTTTATGATCCATACTGCCATCAGCCTTTCCAACTCTGTCTGAAGAAAGAAACTGTGCACTGGCTGAGGCAACAGTGTTTTCCACCCCTGAGGCAGTTTCCAGGAAAGATAATATCATTTCTCCTCAGAAGCCATCCCCAACACCTCCATTTGTTTCTAGACCTATAAGTAGATTAAAGTTCTGGTGGGCTCCTAGAGGTGAGGTGGAGAGTGTGACCCATGAAGTGGTGTGCTACACTCAAAAAGAACTGTTAGAGTTATCTCATTTATTTGAACAGAAATCTGGAGGACAGGTATGAGCATGAATATTAAGTGTAGGGGATAATGGGGGAAGAGGAATCATGGAAATGTATCAGACTGAATTTATTGAGTAGAGCCCACTAAGCAGGGAATTTGCATTTAATGTTGCTGCTTAGGTAGTTAAAAAAATTCTAATAGTTGATTTTCCTGGTTAGCTGAAATATGGATTAAAAGATGTCCCACTGTGAGTGAGCTGGAAATGCCTAGTCTCCGTTGGCTTAATGTAGAGAGAGAGATCTGGAGGCTTAGGGAAATTGGGATGGCGGAGTGGATTCATCTCCTTAGACTTTACTCATTCCACTTTGGAGGGTCTGGAAGAGATGCCCTTTACCAATGCCTTGTGAAATAGATTTGTGAGGGAAGGACTTGCATCTGTAAATAGCCCTGTAATTTCTCTTCTGTGTATGTCAGATTTAATGGTGGGAAACACAATCACTCAACGGCAAAATTTAAATAGGATGAGAAAAGTTGGATCCCCAGGTGGCAGGCGCCAAGTGGCAGTACTCAACCATCAAAGGCAAGGTGGGTGTAAATAAGGGAAGTGGCAATTACAATAATGTGACTCCTATGGAGCTCTGGCATTAACTAATTAATCAAGGTGTTCCTGGAAGTGAAATTGAGAGAAAGCCTACTGCATTCACACTTAAGTTAAACAAACAGATAACTTTTGGGTCAAATAAAAAAACAGACTACTTTGAATTATAAAAGCAGAGTATTACAGCCCCTTCCCCAATCAGTTTCCAAACTAGAGCCAGTTTAAAGACCAAGAACCCCTTGAAAGAAAGAGACACCAGTTTCCCTTGAGGAATGACCCCACTGCATTACTGAAAATATAATCGTGGTCACACAATTAAAGTAGGAGCTTAAGGAGGTCAGGTAATGAATGGAGATTTAGCTTAGGTTGGACTTACAGAGTGTCCTATGCATCCCAGGACTCCTCTTGGAGTCATTTTCCCGGTGCTAGAATGCATAATTGGCATAGACATACTTAGCAGCTGGCAGAACCCCACATTTGCTCCCTGATGTGTAGGGTGAGGGCTACTACACTGAAAAAGTTCAAATGGAAGCCAATAGAGCTGCCTATACATAAAAAATAGTAAATCAAAAACAATATCACATTCCTGAGAGGACTGCAAAGATTAGTGCCAACATCAAGGACTTCAAAGATGCAGCAGTGGTAATTACCAGCACCTTTTCCTTCAACGCTTTCATTTGGACTGTGTAGAAGACAGATGGATCTTGGAGAACAACAGTGGATTATCAAAACTTAACTAAGTTATGACTCAAATTGCAGCTGCTTTACCAGATGTAGTTTTATTGTTTGAGCAAATTAATACATCTCCCGGTAACTGGTATGCAGCCATTGACATGGAAAATGCCTCTTTCTTTATTAATAACTATAAGGCCCAACAGAAGAAATTTGCCTTCAGCTGACAAGGCCAGCAATATACCTTTACTGTCCTACCTCAGAGGTATATCAGCTCTCTGTCTTCATGTCAGAATCTTATTCAGAGAGAACTTGATTGCTTTTCATTTCTGTAAGATATCACACTGGTCCATATAATTAATGACATTATGCTGATATGATCCAGTGAGCAAGAAGTAGCAAGAACACTGGACTTATTGGTGAGACATTTTTGTACCAGAGGATGGGAAATGAATCTGACTAAAATTCAGAGACCTCCTACCTCAGTAATATTCCTAGGGGTCCAGTCTTGTGGAGCCTATCAAAATATTCCTTCTAAGGTAAAGAATAAGTTGCTGCATTAGGCACCTCCTACAACCAAGAAAGAGGCACAGTGCTTAGTAGGACTATTTGGATTTTGGATGCAACATATTTTTCATTTGGATGTGTCACTCTGGCCCACTTATCGAGTGACCCAAAGGCTGCCAGCTTCCAGTGGCATCCAGAACTGGAGAAGTCTCTGCAACAGGTGCAGTCTGCTGGGCAAACTCCTCTGCCACTTGGGCCACGTGACCCACATATTCGATGGTGCTTGATGTGTCAGTGGCAGATAGGAATGCTATTTGGAACCCTTGCCAGGCTTCCACAGGTGAATCACAGCACAGCCCTCTAGGATTTTGCAACAATGCCCTGCCATCTTCTGTAGACAAATATTCTGCTTTGGAGAGACAGCTCTTGGCCCATTACTGGGCTTTGGTGAAAACTGAACGTTTGACTATGGGTCATCAAATCACTGTGTGAGCTGAACTGCCTATCATAAACTGTGTGCTTTCAAACCCATCTACTCATAAAGTGGGTTGTGCACAGGAACATTTCATTATCAATTGGAAGTGGTATATATGTGACAAGGCTTGAGCAGGTCCTAAGGCACAGTAAGTTACATGAGAAAGTGGCTCAAATGCCCATGGTCTCCACTCCGGCCATGGCACCTTCTCTCCTCCAGCCTGCATCGATGGCCTAATGGGAAGTTATTTATGATCAGTTGACAGAGGAACTAACACTGGGACCTGGTTCACAAGTGGTTCTGCACAATATGCAGCCACCACCCAAAAGTGGACAGCTGAAGCACTACAGCTCCTTTCTAGGACATCCCTGAAGGACAGCGGTGAAGATACATCTTCCCAGAGGGTAAAACTTCAAGCAGTGAACCTGGTTGTTCACTTTGCATTGAAGGAGAAACAGCCAAATATGTGTTTATATACTGATTAATGGGCCTTAGTCAATGGTTTGTCTGGAGGTCTGGCACTTGGAAGAAGCATGATTAGAATATTGGCAACAAAGAAATTTGGGGAAAAGATAAGTGGATGGGTCATTCTGAGTGGTGAAAAACTGAAGATACTTCTATTTTATGTGAGTACTCACCAACGAGTGACCTCAGCAGAGAAAGTGTTTAGTAATCAAGCAGATAGAATGACCCATTGTGTGGACACCACTCTGCCTCTTTCCCCAGCCTGGCATTGCCCAATGGGCCCATGAACAAGGTGGCCATGTTGGCAGGAATGGAGGTTACACATGGACTCAGCAACATGGGCTTCTACTCACTAAGGCTGACCTGGCTATGGCCTCTGATGAGTGCCCAATTTGCCAGCAGCAGAGACCAACACTGAGCCCATGTTATGGGACAATTTCTCAGGGTGATCAGACAGCTACATGATGGCAGGTTGAATATATTGGACCTCTTCCATCATGGAAAGGGCAAAGGTTTGTCCTCACTGGAATAAATTTTTACATTTCTCATGGCTTTGCCTATTCTGCATGCAATGCGTCCACGAAGACTACCATCAGTGGACTCACAAAATGCTTTATTCATCATCATGTTATTCCACGCTGCATTTCCTCTGAACAAGGCACTCACTTTAAAGCTAAAGAAGTGTGGCAGTTGGCTTCTCCTCATTAAATTCTCTGGTGTTACCATGCTTTTTATCATCCTGAAGCAGCTAGATAAATAGAATGGTAAAATGGCTCTTTGAAGTTACAATTACAATGCCAATTATGAGAGAATACTTTGAAGGGCCTGTGGCAAAGTTCTCCAGAAGACCATGTGTGCTGTGAATCAGCATCCAATATGTTGTACTGTTTCTCTCACAGCAAGAATTCATGGGTCCAAAAATCAAGGGTTGTAAGTAGAAATGTCACCACTCACCATCACCCCAAGAGATCCACTAGCAACATTTTTGCTTTCTGTTTCCAAGACGTTAAGTTCTGTTGGCCTAGAGATCTTAGTTCCAGAGGGAGGAATGCTGCCACCAGAAGACACGGCCATGATTCCATTAAACTGGAAGTTAAGATTGACACCCAAACACTTTGGCCTTCTCCTACCTTTGAGTCAACAGTCTAAGAAGGAAAGTACAGTGTTGACTGAGGTGATTGATGCAAACTATCAAGGAGGAAATCAGTCTACTGCTCCACAATTTAGGTAAGGAAGAGTATGAAGGGAATAGAGAAGATACATTAGGATGTGTCTTAGTATTACTATGACCTGTGATTAAGGTCAATAGGAAACTACAAGAGCCCAATCCTGGCAGGACTACAAATGGTTCAGATCCTTCAGGAATTAAGGTTTGGGTCACAAATCAGGAAAAAAAAATGACCTGCTGAATACCTTACTGAAGGCAAAGAAAATGCAGAATGGGGAGTAGAAGCCAGTCATCCATACCACCTGAAAACACGTGACCAGCTGCAGAAATGAGGACTTTAATTGTCTTAAGTATTTCCTCCTTCTTTTGCTAAAAAAAAAAGTTTGTGCATATGTATACATGTAGTAAGAAAATATCTTCATTTTTTCTTTCCTTTTATTATGTGACATAAGATATATTGACTTCATATCATCATTTGAGTATAGGTAACTTTACATAATAGTGTTCGGGTTGGAGATTGGTGTGTTCCTGATTGTATGAAGGATAGTTCTATTATGTTAGGTGTAAATATGACTCATTTTTGTATTATGTTAGGTGTAATTATAACCTCATTTTTGTCTTTATTTGAAGAGTATGTATTATCTCAGGAGATGTCTATAGATTCAACTTGAAAAAGGGTGAACATATGACGGTTAATACTGTGTGTCAATTTCACTGGATTGAGGGATACAAAGTATTAATCTGGGGCATGTCTCTTGGTAGTTTCCCAAAAATGGATTAACATTTGAGTCAGGGGGCTGGGGAAGACAAACCTACCTTAATCTGGTGGGCACAATCGAATCAGCTTCTAGCGAATGTAAAGCAGACAGAAACATGAGAAAAGGTGAGATGGGCCTCGCCTCGAAAGCCTCCATGTTTCCCCTGTGCTGGATGCTCCTTACCCTCAGACACCAGACTCCAACTACTTCAGTTTTGGGACTTGGAGTTTTTCTCCTTGTTCCTCAGCTAGCAAACAGCCTATTGTGATCATGTAAGTTAATACTTCATAACCTCCAATATATGGACATATTGTACCCTTTGTATGTATGTGTGTGTGTGTGTGTGTATCTCTACATATATAGAGATACATATATATATACACACATATATATGATACACACACATAAAGTGATGACAAAGTATACAATTTTTTGTATGTATTCTCAAAAAACATTCTTTGAATAAATACTAAAACTGTAAATCTTATTTTAATAAGTCAGCTGATTTGAGAGTCATAAAATAAACTAATTCTGTACAAAAAACTCACATATATACGTGTCTGTGTGTGTGTTTAAATGGTCCATAATGATCTCTGTAAACAAACACTCCAAAGGTACTCATGTTTCTATTTAGTTACTGTCAAGGCTCTAGAATCTACATCAGAGGAGTTGCTTAATAAATAGTTATGAATTAGTATATACTATTTATTTCTTTAAGAATAGAGGTATATTATGTCTTCTTAGAAAATGACAATTTAAACTTTCACACAGATTTAGGAAATACTGTTTCTGTAATCATGGTAAAATGTAACCATTTAAATCAGTTATAAAATTAAGCAATCTATAACGTAACTGCCTCAGTGAAATAGCTTTTACAAATAATAATAACAATAATAATATTAAAGCAGTGCCAGCACTTTGAAAAATTAGTAAGTAAAGCACAGTAAATATACCTCTTTCGCTACAAGTTTTGCCTGAATAACTCTTTTCTACAAATAATGTCAGCTTCTGTACACTACTTAATATTGTCCGATGCCTTGATTTCATGCTGTCTGCATTTTTCCAAGAATGTGTCTAAATAGCATAGCTCTCCCTTAGTATATTAGGGGAAAAAATTATGTCTTTTTACTTTAGGCATTGAATAGCAATTTATTAATTTTGGAGGAAAAGAAAGCTCTATACGAGTAGAAGTTCTGCTAGTGGAGAAAACTCTAGCATCAGTTACATAGCCAACAGGTCAGGTGCTAAATGAGAACAACTTGAGCATTATAAATGTGGATAACTACCATATTGCTACCTGCTAACGTTCTGAAACAAATTTCTGATTCAAACATAAAGATTTTACATTGCATGAATTCACCTCCTTTTTGGACTTACCTTAATATTTTCACATATTTTTCTTCTCACATTAATTTCCTCATTCATTTATCTTTAATTTATCTTATTGTCTAATATGCATTTTTGTGAATGCATTTATCTTTTATTATCTTAGAAAAAGATGGAAGATAAATAATTCTGATAAAAGATACCCACTATGCAAACTTCTATAAAATATTTTTTAAGCAGTGGAAGATACTTGAGTATTTATTCTACTCAACAATTTTAGCAAAAGCGAAAATTCTCTAACTCCAGCTATAATCTTTGAAAGCTTGGTTTTTATTTGGCTTGCTTATTGTAATATCTTAGCAACTTTCATGTCATAAGACAATGTGTATGCACAATGTGAATGCATAACATAGTGTGCCAAAGCACAGGTGTGCCCGTGTTTTACGTATACCTTCAAGCTCTAGTCAAGATTAGATCTATCCCAAAGGCCCTTGATTGAGTTTTCTCCCTTGTTACCCCCGAAATAGAGACTGCCTAGAGTTTTAATTTTCTATATTAGTGGTTTACAGAAATATTGAAAAAGCAATGGGAAAAATAGCAGAAAATAAGAAAATATATGGTTTAGTTTGTAGTCATTTATTAACTAAACTGACTTCACTTTACTAATGCTTACCCTAACTTGAATGAACTAAACATTACATAAGCTTTTGAAAATCCTTCTGATATAAGAAACCAAAAATTGAGTTAAGAAATCTTCAAATGTGATATCAAATAATTCTAAATGTGTGTTTTTAAAATAATTTTCTTGAGAGATTGTTCAACACTCTTAATTTTTCAAAGGTGCCTAATACTCTAGCTTATAGGATATTTAGCAGCATTTCTAAACTCTCAGTACTAGATGCTAGTAACAAGCTTACCAATTCCACTTCCAGTCATAAACCAGGCTTAGAGTGAAATCTAACGTGAAATCTACTGACCTATAAAATCCCTAGACAATCACAGGGACTGTCTGTTACTTCTATGAGCTCATCATCTATAATGGTTTCCCTTCCACAGCCTGCTCCAGCCACAGGGACCTGGCTAATTTTTAAACAATTAAGCAGGCTTCCACCAGGGATCATCATACTGGTTGAACTTCCTGCATGTTTACATGATTATTTCCTTATTATTTTATTTAGATATTTACTTGAAAGTCACTTTTAAGCAAATTATTGTACATTTGTTTTATATAAAACCAAAATATACTATATACTGATCTTGCCTCATATATTTTATATGGAATATAGAACTTCAATTAATAAAAAGCAAACAAAAAACTCTATAATATAACCACTAAAACAAAAATCTAACATCTAAAATCCAAAATTCGAGGTACAACACATAATTTAAGTATTTTAAACAAAATTTTAAGAGAAAAAACATACATCTCATAGATACAAATAAACTACAAGAATAGAAAACAATCAATGTTTCATAGATAAAAATGAAAAGTGCAAGGAAGGCAACTTCAAACCATTTAAAGAAAACTCATACCTTTCCTAAGCAGCCTGGACCTTTGAAATAAATAGCTCATATTAGCCAAGTTAACATGTAATCAAGAGAGACAATTATAAAATTGCAATTTTTTGTGTGTATTTCCATTCTGCCTCCTAAGCACAGATGAAGGCTTATAAAAATTGAAATCCACATTTTCCATGTGAGGCCCTGAATCCTGCTTCTGGAAGGAGTAAAGAAGCCCTTATATGCTAAATTATTGTGTTTTTTTCTAGTCTATCTAGGGGATACATGAAGAATTGATGAAACACATTTATTTCTGTTTTGTCTAACATAGAATTCACTCTTGGTTGAAAATGCCAGAAATTGGTCATAAAACTTTAAGTTGCTGAGAACAAAGAAAACAGTTTTTATACAACAGACAAACTATAAAAAGGAGCAAAAGTTGAAGAGACCTTTATTTGCAAAAATCTGAATATTCAAAAGCAGTTTAATGTATTGAAAGATTTAGAAAATCATGTCCATGCTCAAGACAGAAAACATTCTCAAAAAGTATATAAAACAATAGGTGTTAATTCTCAATTTTACCTATAGCTTCAATGTGAGAAGAAAATGAAGGCTAAGACAGAATTATAAGCAATCCTCCTGAGAGTTAAAGAAGAATGTTAATACAGATTTAGTTTTTACAAGTGATAGTTTTAACATTGCTCTTATTCAAAACACTAATGGAATGCAAGCTAAGGTTTTAATAACTAAGAAAATACCTTGGAGAAATGAAGAAAACCTATAATTCAGAGTCAGCACGTTTCAACTTTTCAAATATAGTTTTCTGCAAAATAAAAACATAAAAACCAATAGAAACGTATGCCTAATGTAAAGTAAATGCAGAAACTGAAAATATTCTAAATTTTATTGACAAAGAATTTAAAACAACAGTTTTAAGTTGTGTAAAAGAAAAAATGACAGAACCAATGAAAGAAAACTATGAGAGCATCAGTGAGAAAAAATATGTAAAAAAAATGAAAAATTTGAGATAAAGAGTACAAAGACCGAAAGAAAATTGACAATAAAGGAGTTTCACAACAGACCTGAGCTGGAAAGTATTCAGTCAATTTTAAGCAATGAAAACTGAAATAACCCAGTCTGATAAATAAAAAAAAATTAAGTGAAAAAATACTAAGAAGTTAATAGAACACTATGAGCTATACCAATACATGCAATATGGACACCTCATAAATACAGAAAAAGAAGAGGCAAAAAAAAATCTGAAAGCAAAGATGACTGAATATTTCCCAAACTTAATTAGAAATCAGAATCTAAAATTTAAAGAAGGACAAAATCTTCAACTGTAATATAGTCAACGATAGCCACATCAAGAAACATTATAGTCAGTCAAGTGCTAAGACAAAGAAAATTGTAAAACCAGAAAGCGATAAGCAACTTGTTATGTTCAAGGGAATCTTGATTAAAATTAACAGATGATTGTTCAGCAGAAACCATGGAAGTCATAAGGTAGTAGGATATCAAAGTTTTAATAGAAAAAATACTATCAAACCTGAAATCTGTAACTGGTAAAATGTTACATGAGCAAAAATGCCTGGATAAAGGAAAGTTAAAGGAATTTGTTACTAACCTTCTCTAAAAGAGAAAATTACTATTATAACCCTGGCAAAGTTTTCTATTACTGAACACTCAGTGTTTACACATATAATCTGAGATAATAATATAAATTGAAAAGAATGGAAAAGCACAAAAGCAGCACATTTTTATATTGTTTAAATTAAACTTTAGGTTATTGAAACAAGTTAGTATTATTAAAAGTAGGCTATTTTAAATTTACAATAGTAATTGAAGTCCCAAATATAACCAATTATAATATAAAAAATACAATTTTTTTTCTAAATTAACCACATTTTAAAAATAAACAAAGGAGAATTAAGGATAAAATAAAATAATAAAATATTGAAAGCAAATAAGTAAATCTCAGAGTAAGTAATGTTTTACTTGTAATAACTTTAAATATGAGCTCTTGCATAAAAAGTCAAAGACTGGCACAAATGCATCCTTAGATAAAAATTAATGTATATGATTTATCTGAAAGTCTTTCTTTATGTGTAAAGACACAGAGGCCAAAAGTAAGATGATACAAGGTTCTGGGAAAAGCATGACAAGTGACTACAGAGCACTATATATCTGTCTCTTCAACTACACAATAGGTGCAGTGTCAGAATTGGTATGATCCTATTATTTTGGAATTCCAGAGTCTATCTGAAGGTTTACAGCTTCCAAAACAAGATTTGTAAACAATAATTAAATTTTATCAATTTTATAGCATAGATAAACAACAGCTATTTATTCTTTATTAACTACCGCTGTGGTATGCTGCCTTGAAAACACCTCTGGAGCAGCTTGAAAGAGACATGATAAACAGAAAGGACCCTGCCATTTAAATGTCAGGAGGACTTGTGCACCTATTGCTGCTTCTGATTATAGAGGTCCCAAGATAGATGAATAGCCGTTGTTTCATTTCTGAAAGCTTTTGCAGCCTTTTCCTCCTCCTACTCAAGCAACTTTCAAAATATTTAGAGAGCCAGAATATTTTTCCTCATTTTACTTTTTTTCCTTTTAAGAGGTCAGACATTTATGTACAAAAACATTCAAAAGTAAATATATATAAATAAAAACATGATAAATAAGCAACTTAACCATATCTTCCTCAGATGGTGCAGGCTCAAAAAAGACACAAGAAGTTCAGTAGGACTGATTTCCAGGACAGAAAGAGCCTGCATTATAAATAAACAAAACCCTAGCCAATCATAGAGTAAGAAAATCTGATTTTAAAATTACAGCATTTTCATATGTAAATGCCCTTTTTCAGCGTTAACAAAATCACTTACCATAAAGTGAAATAGAAAATTAGGGCTCATTCTAAGAAAAAAAAAATAACTAACACAAGCTTTTCCTACACAGTCCAAATGGCAGGCTTACTAAAAATTATTTTTTTTTAAATTAATGATCTTAGGAAGGTAATAGAATAAACAAAAAAGCACAGAGAGTCATGAACAAATAAATTATTAATAAAGAGAGAGTAAAATTATTTTTAAAACTAAAAAAATTTCTAGATATGCAAAGTGAAACAACTGAAATAAAAATTCACTACAGACATTTAAAAGCAGACTTGAGCAGATAGAACATAATATCAGCAAACCTAAAGAAAGAGCAATTGAAATTATTAAGGAAGGAAGAGAAAAAAATATATAAAGAAATGTGAACAGAGCCTAAAACATGTGGGACACCATCAAGCAGCCTTACTTACACATTTTGGAAGTTCAAAGATAAGAGACAAAGAATCAGAGAGACTATTTTAAAAAATAGTGGCCAAGGATGTCACAAGTGTGAGGAAATAAATAAACATCCAAGAAGCTCAATAAACTCCAAGTAAGATAAACTCAAAGAAACACACTCAAACTTCCTTGATAATTCAATATTTCTAAACAAAGACAAAGAGAACCTTGAAAGCAGCAAAAGAAGTGACTAGTCATGTACAGAGGACCCTCAAAAATAAAAAGTGGATTTCTTATCTAAAAATTCGAGGCCAGAAAGCAATGGGCTAATATATTCCAAGTGATGTAATAGAACAAATTCAAACAGAAATTTTATGTTCTAAGTGTCCATCAAAACTGAGAGGGAAATTATGACATTTTCAGATAAAAGCTGATGTCTTTTACCACCGGACTACCCTTTAAGAAATGCTTTATGGGGTACTTCATGGCAAAATGAACACTAGACAGCAGTATGAATAAATAAATATTAAGGTAAAGATAAATACATAAGCAATTAACAATATATATATATAAATTAACAATGTGCACCTTCACAAGTGATTCTCCACATAATTTAAAACACACACAAACATATGTGTGTATATATATATAAAATATATATAGTATTATATTATCTATATTTATATATATATTCACTAACTTGTGTTTTTGACATACAGTGCATAAAGGTATAATTTTGAGAACTCAGTAAGTAAAGTAATGGAGGCCATTCTATATAGGAGTAAGGATTTTTATGTTATTGAATGTAAATTAGAGTGACTTTAACAATGTTATAACTTTAGAATGTTCAATATAATGGTTAGAGCAACTGTAAAGGAAAGAGTAACAGGCAGGTAGAAAGCTTTCTGCACTACACCAGAGTAGCAGCGGTGGATTTAGCTTCTCTCATGTGAGAAGCAAGCTATCTTGGCACCATGAGACCAAGCCCAAGCTCTTCCACCAGGGAGTAAGTGTGGAGAGCCTAAGGCACATACCATAGCTGCTCCTTCACACAACTTTTACTACACCAGTGGCAACGAAGTGGAAGAGGCTCATCCATACTTAGCACCTGGTGAAGCACTGGAGGCAGAAAAATGTAACTATGGGAAGACCCCACTGAAATAAAGTTGGCACAGCAACTACCCTAAATCGGTCTCTTTCTTTACGGATTCCCAATAGTTAGAGGTTGAAACTTTTGTTTACACAAGACAAGACAAAAAAGAGAAGACAGAGTATTTGGTTCAGTGGAAAGGTTATGACAAACGGGATGACACTTGGGAACCAGAGCAGCACATTGTGAACTGTGAAAAATGTTTCTAAGTCTTTAACAGATGACAGACTGAAAATCAGAAAACAAAGACACAGATCAAAACAAGTAGAACTTTTTCAAACAATGCCCAAAAAAAAAGAACTTCCAGATCTACCAACACCAACTTTTCTAATAACTCTCCTAATATGTTATTAACTGGCAAACACCACAAGGCCTAAAACAGCCAGTGATTTGCTGCCAGCCACAACGTTAGGAAAAATGCAGCTTCACCTCTCTTTCACCCAAAGAATATGGAGATAGTAAATTCAACTATCAAGACACTTGCACATCAGAGCCCCTTTAGCAGCAAGAACAGAGTGACTGACATTCAGGAACCTGAGACACTAAACCCTATTGCACCAGATTAGCAGGACACAGTGGTGTTCAACGTGGCAGTAGAGAAGCCTGTCAGAGCTTTATCAGATCCCAGTGCAGGACCAGTTGGAATAGAAAAAAGGCCACTGATACATGCACTATTGTCTCAGATGTCTGGCTCAGTTACTACTGCATCCATGGTCACAGGCTCAGCTAACAAGGAAGGTATATTGGTATTAATGGACTCATTAACAGCCAACAGAAGAACAAATATGCATACACCTGTTACACAGAAGAACAAATATGCATACACCTATTACAAGAGTGAGAGGCGGGCAAAGAAAGGTTATTGATAATAAAAGAGACCAGCCTTTTATGTAGAGGATGCATGTCACCAGAAGGCTAACAGAAAGTGCCAGCAGATACAGAGACATTGTAGTGAGGAAAGAGGATGGATTCACCTAGATATTGGTATCAACTAGATTGACAGGAGAAAACACACTGAATGCAGAAGTAATGAAAGAAATCATGAATGCTCTGAATATGGCTGCTCCAGATGATAGCAAACTTGTGCTGTTCAGCACAGCTGGCAGTGTCTTTTGCTGTGGTCTTGATTTTGGGTACTTCGTGAAGCATTTAACAAATGACAGAAAGAGAACAAGCATTGAAATGGTGGACAATATCAAGAATGTTTTCGACAATTTCATTCAATTTAAAAAGTCAACTGTTGTATCAGTCAATGGGCCCGCGATTGGACTGGGTGCATCCATACTGCCTCTTTGTCACTTGATTTGGGCTAATGACAGCTTTGGTTTCAAACCCCTTATACAACATTTGGACAGAGTTCAGATGGCTTTCTAGTGTTACATTTCCCAAGATGATGGGTGAAGCATCTGCCAATAAAATGTTGATTGATGTGTGAAAGCTGACAATACAGGAGGCATGTGCCAAACACCTGGTTTCTCAGGTGTTTTGGACAGCAACTTTCACCCAAGAGGTTATGGTTCAAATTAATGAGTTTGTCTCATGTAATCCAGTAGTGCTGGAGGAATGTAAGGCCCTTGCTAGCTGTAATATTAAGATGGAGTTTGAACAAATGGCTGAGAAAGAATGTTAAATGCTGAAGAAAATCTGGGGCTCAGCCCATGGGATATAATATATGTTAGTGTAAGTGCAAAAAAAAATGATGAATTTTAATTATCAGTCTGTCTGCTCAGGGCACAATAACCGAGCTGAGAAGAAGACATCATTAGCTGCAAGATGCCCTAATCCACCTGCATATCCCAAAACAATTCTCCCAATATCTAAGTCTTGGAAACAGAACTGGAAATGTCAAAGCTATTTATTTAATATTATGAATGAAATTTTAAGTACTGTAACTTTAAAATAAATAATGAAGCAACTTCTTTGTCAAAATGTCATAATTTTATGCACATATAAGCCCAAATATAAAATCAGACTGGTGAACACTTGGCTGTTCTTTCAAATTCTAATTTTTATCCATGACTACTACTCTATAAAAAAAACAAAATTGTGATTAATTAGATTTGAAATACAAAAAACTTAATAATTTTTTTTTATTTTTTACTCTAGAATGCAGAATTTAATGGGGTATGAGGCAGCCTCTTCCCCTTTCCCCAAAATAGAGACACAGAAACATCTGAGATGGTGCTTTTGACTTTATAGTGGAACAAATACCACAGAGACACAAAATTCCAAATTAAAAGCCTAATATTTTAGGATAAACATTTCCAACACAAAATTCACTGATGATTTCTCTCCCAAACTGAAATAGGATGCAATTTATGCTGAGATTTCAATTGAATTTCTTTTTCTTTATAAATGTCTAGTGTTTACCCAGTTAACTTGAAGAAATCTTTATCTCTCTAAAACAAAACTTGTACAATATTAGTGCATCATGAAATCATTTAGGTAGAATTATCCAAGTGTTAATGTTTAGAATATATACTTTTGGGTTAACTTTGAGTATGTTCTATTTAATAAGTTAAAATTCTGGACACATTATTAAAGGCAGAAATTTCTTTCAAAGAGAAGAAAAGATACCTACACTATATCTGACATTTAAATTACTGGTGTTTGCTTTTATGTGCACACTATTTCTTAGAACACTCTACATGTTCAGCCATCGAGAAGCTCTGGCATCTTGTCCTCTTGGATTTTTATGGAGACTCCATTATGTAGGTATGATTGAATAATCCACTGGCTGATGGTGATCAACGTCACCTTTATCACAGGGACAGAGTTAGGTGAATGAGTGAGTGATGGTTGAGCACAGCCACTGCACACAGCTAGCCATATTGGCTATGATGGATGAGCAGTTCCAGGTGCTGGCACAGGGGCCAGCTCCCTAAAGTTCTTTGGCTGAATTTGGCATACCAAAAGCTGTTTCCTCTCCAGGGACGGGGAAATGCAGTGGAATCCAGAAGCTTAGAAATGTCAGAAATTGCACAGCCCCAAAGAGGGTGTCACAACACTGTCTTGGGAAAGGTTTAGGTCTGAGTTCCTTTAGGGCCAAAGCTCTGCTGTCCCTTATTTTTGTGGTAAGCAACAATGTGGCAACCTGGGGGTTGTGAGTTTCAGTCCTGTTTGTGTTACTAATTTTTCAGTTTTGCCATTCAGTCCTGAGTCCTTGTCCCATGTCCAGGAAAAATGAGGTATGTGAACAACTAAAAAATAATCAAGGTAAATATGTGCTTTATTGAGTGACAGTACAGTTTGCAGTGGATGTAAAGCAGGCAGCTCCTTTTTACAAGCAGGACCTACTTTCATCTGTGCAGCCCTCAGTGACGAGTAGAACCAGAGTGAGGAGCTCCAATCTGCAGGCAGTTTGTGCTGACATCTCTGCAGTCCTCAGTATGGATGAGATGCAGAGTGGCAAGCTTTTATCTGCAGGAAGGTTGTTGAGACGTTGCTACAGCCCTTAATGGAGAGGAGACGTATCTAACTGCAGGCCTGTAATGCCAGCAATTGCACAACTCTCAGTGGAGAGGAGACCGACAGTGGTTAGCTCCAATTTGCAAGCAAGTTATCCATGATCTCCCTAACTCTGGAGTTCATATGGGCTTAAGTAGGCAGAAGTACTGTGCTGATTGGTCAGTGGTGCTATTGGTGGGCCCAGAAAGAGACATAACTTTTCATTCTCATCTCCAGAACATGCAGCCCAGCCCCCAGTCTTCAGAAAATCCATGGCTTGAAGATGGAGTTTTAATGAGAAACTGCTTCTTTCTGCCTAGATGCCTGTCTGTCTCCTGCTACAGTTAATGGTACCAAGGCTATTTTTGCAAAGACAAACCTCCAGGCCCATACCAACTCCTTGAGTCTCCTATGCTCACTGAGGCCAAAAGACTAGAGAAAACTAATGTGGCATACGGTTTTTGTTTCAGTACAACCTCAAGTGTAAGCACACCTGGTCAGGTCATGACAGCACCTGGGCTTAGCTAAAAATTTTCTTCAACATTCAAGGGGACACTAGGATCTGGGAGAGGCCAGGCAATGGGATTTCAGAGCCTTTGTAGGAAGGATGGCTTTCCAGTCCCCAGAAAGCACAGGGATGCCTGAGTCTGCAGCATGGCTAGGCAGCTGCAACTGTGCCTGAGTAGGTGAGGTTTCTGCTAATTCCACTTGGATGTGGGTGTGGCTTCTCTCTGTTCTTGGTTCCCACCAGCTTCACAGAGTGAAGAGCCCTGGCTGCCCCTCCCTCACTACACCTGGCATCTTTTCTGCAGCCCCTCTAAATAGGCTGCTTCTGCCAGTACCCGCAGCAACTCTCCTATTCCAAAATAATGCAGGGTGACCCTGGGAGTCCCTGCACACTTATCAAGTCTTGTCTTTTTATTAACAAGCCCCAACCTGAAGCAGTCAGTTATTAGCATATAAAAAGACATCACTTTGGAGATTCCAAAGAACTCAGGATTTCTATGCCAGAAAACAGAGACAAACACCAAATATATTTCACAATCTTATAGCTACTTAAAAGAAACCCTAGGACTAGAGTCCTGGGTAGAATTCCACTGTCGAATTCTACCAAATGATCTAAGAATTAAAACAATTTATTCTCTTTTTCAAAGTCATTTATTTTAAAAGAAGAAAGTGCAGGTTGAACATTGCTAACACAAAAACATTAAATGTACTCCAGTGTGAAACTTGAGTGATGACATGACACAAGTGGAAAGCTCCACAGAATATTTCTTCACACAGCTTTGTTTTATGCACAAAACACATTAAATTTACCTTCATGATGTGGGAGAGAAAAACAGGAAACTAGGAAGGGTTCTTGGTAAAACTCTTTTAAGCACAGAAACAGACTGAAAAGTTAAGTTGCAGGCAACTGTAAGAGAACTAGAAGAGGAGGGTAGCAAAAGACATGTTCACAGCTGCAATAATCAGAAAACAGGAAAGAACATGAAAATGCCTTTGTCGTTTTTGCCTAAAACATATGCACAGCTGCACAGATAGGGGAGGAAGGCCACATGTAGAGATACCTTTGTCATTCACATAATCAGCAGGCTTCAAAAAGTAGACAATTCTGTCTTTGTGGGCATGATACCTAGTAGGCTCTAGTGGGCTCTGCTGGGACACTTTTCTAATTTGAATATGTTTTGACCTGTGAGCCAAGTGTTTCTGATTCATCCCTTCAGCTTCTGCTTTTTCCTGATGCAATGCCCCAAACAAAGCTTTTATTTCATCCTCTGATTTGTCCCGGGTCAGGTCCTGAACCAAGCTGATTACTGCTTTCTTCAAGATAGCTCACATGCAACTCAGAATATTTCTTTCTTTCCAGTTCACAAAAACCTCAGACCCAGCATTACAGTTGGAAAGTCTCATGGGTCCCTTCTTTAATGTGAACAGCTTTCTTCTTTTGATTATTAAACTTCTGTCCTATCTGAACTTTATGTGTAGTTTCCTTAATTATCTTGGTCATGAAACAACACTTCAGCATGTTATTGGTCCCAGGCCAAGGTATCAGACCAAGCTTTCACTTTAGCTGCTGCTTGGTCCAGGGCAAAGGATGAAGGCCAAGCTAAGTTGTATCTATAAATCATTACTTAACCTCCTGAAGAATCCCCAGCCAAAGTGCAGGGCCAGGCTGAGTAATGTTTCTCCAAGACCACTAAGCACATTTCTTTCGTTTTCTGTCTTTATTAACCCTGAAGCCCAGCCTTATAGTAGGCACACAACTTACACCCCACCTCCACTGTAAAGAGCTTTTTACTTTCACTTATAAAACTTTTGCTTCAACCTGTTTGCATCCATGCTCCTTAATTTTCTTGGCCATGAGACAAAGAGATCTGCTTGACACCTCACAATGAGAGATTGCTACATTGTGGTGCATTAATGAGATGGCAACAAATGAAGTGTGGGAATTGAGATCTGGGATGCATTAGTCTTACTGGACCATCTGGGAAACTGGCCCCACACTGTGATGAACACTCTTGGAGGCAGTCCAACATGTAGTAGTCACCAACACAGGATGGAAAGGGTCAAGGTAGCTACATTTTGATGCCTTAGCCATTCTTCCTAAGGTACCCTGGCTTACCTCACTGAGAGGAGTTTACAGGTGAATGTCAAATATCTTGGATTTTATAGGCCTGTAATTGGGTCACTAGTCTTTGTCTTTCTTTTGCATCATCTCTTTTTGCTGTGGCTGTTCCTGAGTCCTGTCATAAAAGATAGAGAAGGCTATGCCCACGAAGTTTCCCAAGGTAGTGTACAATTCCAGAGCCTGCCTCTGAAGTTTTCTTCTGATATTAGTAGGTGCCTGAGTAATAAACTTGCCTTTTAAGACTATCAATGTATTAATTGATTGAGGAGCTACAAAAGTGTGTTTCATGAACGTCCCTCTTTGCCTTTTCATAAAGGCTGAAAAATTTTTATCTGGTTTCTGATTCAATATGGTCCCTTTGAGTACCTTTTGTATTTTACGCTGGCTGTAGACAACGTGCAGTTGTCCCTGAATCTCTCTTGTTGCATGTAGGGCTGTCTGTTTCTCAGAAGCAGTTTGAGTTTGGCTGGTCCTAGGCCACACTATTATTTTAGCTCTTGAATGATCCAGGGCCAAGTTCCTGAGCCAAGCTGAATCACTTCTGAGTCACTACTTTAGCTCCTAATTTGTCCCACGTCAAAGTCCCTGGAAAAGTTCAGTAGCGCTTTCTTCAAGAATAGTTAGGACATTCTGTTTCTTCCCATTCCATAAAAAACATCAGACACTTCCTTATCGTGGACAACTCACTTTCCTCCACAAGAAGTTAACTTATTAAACATTTGCTACAATCTCATCATTTTCATTCATGGCTCTTAATTTCTTGGCCTTTAGATAAAAAAAAATCTATGTGACACCTCAGAATGAGAAACTGATACACTGTGGTGCGTTGGGGGACAGCAACTATGTTTTTTTTGCATGAGCTGGAAAAAGATTAATTAAAAAGTGACTAGGAGTGCACCTCCAAACTATTTACATTCACTTCTGAGGCTTGTTGTCCTCAGGGTTTTCTTTTTTAATTTCTCAAGAGCACACAAAACACTGGGCCAGTGTCAGTTAAAACCCAATAAAATGGCTACCATCCTTACAAGGCTCAGGAGATAGGCCTGCTGGGAAACACTCTGGCAATCCCCGTTTACCCTTAGGTGTCAAAAATGTTGCCTCTGTTCCAATTCAGTCTTCTTTCATGCAGGACCTAGTCATCATGTGGGGCTGAAAGAAAATCTAGAAAAACTGAAGGTTTCTGGTTAAGACTACACCACAGTGTTACCTGAAAGCCTCAGGACTAACTACAGTTTCTGACAGCCCATAATTATGTTGCCACCAAAAATTCCAGAAATTTCTGTTGCATTTTTTTTCTTTTTGTGACTATTATATATTCTATTTCCTCTTTGTATGAATGTTGAAACCTGGAGATATAATCTTATGGGGTAATGTCAGCTGGTGTGTTAGTAATTAGAAATATAATTAAAAGAGATGCTATTTTGTGATTTTTTTGGAACCAGAAAGAACTCAAATTGTACTCTTAAAAATTTTTATTTGGTGAGTGTCTTTTTGTCCCCCTGTGACAGATATTCATGGCACTCTATGGAAAGATATACATTCAGAAGAAAGTTTTTCTTTTTGTTGGTTATTTCTCTGTAAAAAGCTCAGCATTGCCATATAAATCTAAACAGTTTCTTTATTGAGACACATTAATCTTTTTTTCTGCAGAGACACGAACTGTGGGGACAGCCTATAGAGTTTTCCCCTTCTTTTTCTAAATTTTGGCTACAAAAACCTTGGAGTCAGAGTTTTCATCTAACATTTTAGATCTTACCATGTCACCTAGTGTGATGAAATTTTTCTCTGTAGGAAGACTTGTCAGTACTTTGCCCAAAACCCTGAGGTTTTCAACTCCTCTCTCTACTGTGCCTCTCTAACAGTAATAAGACTCCATGCCCTATCTGTAAACAGAAAATATCCACTTTCAATAGTTGGCAGAAAGTTGCCTTTGAGAGACATATTCTAGCTCCGGGCTTTTCTCTCTCTCTCTGCTTTGAGATGGAGTCTCATTCTGTTGCCTAGGCTGTAGCACAGTCATGCAATCTCGGCTATTGTAATCTCCACCTTCCGAGTTCAAGTGATTCTCCTGCCTCAGCCTCCTGAGCAGCAGTGATTACAGGTGCACACCACCATGCCCAGCTAATTTTTGTAATTTTTGTATAGATGACGTTTCACCATATTGGTCAGGCTGATCTCGAACTTCTGACCTCATGACCTGCCCACCTCTGCCTCCCAAAGTGCTGGGATTACAGGCATGAGCCACCGCACCCGGCCACTTAGTGCTATTTTAAGAAGACCAGCCATTCAAGTCCTACATTTTTGGAGGCATGTATTCTGCTTCCAGCAGCAATGGCATTTAAACTAAAAGAGAATTTTATGTTTCAAAGTCAATCGATCTCATTTTCTGGAATTTCAAGATTTTACTAGGGCAACAGCAAAGAAAGACAGAAATAGTATTGAACATCCACTGTGCAAAAGGTCCTTGCTCAAATCAAACTACCCATAATCTTTCTTAGGTTGCCAAGCTACCTTTGGAATCTTCTGGGTTGAGTATGCTTAGGAGACCAACAAAGGATCACTAGTGGAGAGCTAACGCCTTGTGCAGGTGAACATTACTTCTCCTTCTTACTAGCTCCTCTGGAACCATGGGTGAAGATTATGATTGTATCCATGGAGGACAACTATGATAGTTGCCAGATCCATAAAAGACAAGAAAAATGAAAAAACAATGAACACACTTTCTATCTTTCTTTTCACTCAGGGTTTTTCAAAAAGAGGAAAGAGACTGTGGGATTCTTTCTCTTTCTATATATTTTGAAAGGTCATAAACCTTCTGCATTCTGGACTTCTCTAGGTTGCATTCAGAAACACTGGAATTTATTTGACCATGTGACTCTGAAAAAAAAGTGGTTTTGTTTGTTTGTTTTGGCAAAAGGGCATTGCTATCTTACCAGCTCCAGACAGGCAGGCCTGGCTTCCTGAGGGAAGTGTTCATTTTAATACTATTCAACAACTAGATCTTTTCTCAAGATGGGAAAAAAAAAACCACTTTGAAATTTTCTATGTTTAAGCTTACTTTGATTTTGGAGACAACCCAGATCATCATAAACATTGTAAAATTGACTGCCCTCTTGGCAGTCATATCAGGCAAGTTTAAAACAATAATTTATTAAAGTCAGAGACAAACCCCTCAGGAACCCTCAAATGTGACTTCTAAATGCCCTACCTGCCACCCTTATGCAGGCCCTCCAACAGCCATTTCATCAGCTTTTCTTCTTGTGCCACCAAGGAAACTTCCAACTTCACTGCTGCCCCTGCAGGAAATAATCGATAGATGTGGTGCTACTAGAGTTCAAGTTTTCTTCTCATTTCAGGGCCTTACACAAATAGCAGGAAACAAGCAAGTCCTCTGATGACCCTGATTCATATACAGAGGCATTTCAAAGCATAACCCAAGTGTTCAATCTTACTTGTAAAATACTACATTACTCCTAAAGCAATCCCTAAATGTTACAGTAAAGCAGGCAGCTTTATAGATAGCAGAATTTTTTATAGAGGAAATGTGTGTTTCTTACAGCCAGCCAAAATTCAAGAAGAAGGGAGGGTGAAAGGGGAAAAAAAAGTTAAACAAATAGCAAAATGTTTATTTCTAATAAGAAAGGAAACAGCGTTTCTTGAAAACCCAATTGACATCTTGGTGATCTTGTAGATGAGTGAAAAAAAAAATCTAATAAGCATACTGGAAGGTTTATGAGGGAACAGGGCCATACTTCTTAATTACTCTAAGATACTGATAACAGATTAAAACTAGATGAAAATTATTTAGCCTTTACCTCCAGAATTACTTGGATCCTCTGTATCACAATGGCTGTAGAGCCTGGGACCCATTATTCCTGCTGAACAATCAGGGGAAAACACATTTGATTGGTGACAAATGTCACTGGGGTCATTTTTACTTTCACTGGTCTCCACCACAGGCTGGACAAAGTTAAGTATATTCTTCTTACTGCCTGTGCAATCCCTTTGAAAGTGTCCTGGCTTGTCACACCAGTAGAAATTAGCAGGTGCACCTTGGTAATTCTGCAACTTGTAGGCCTGTAATGTAGCCGTAGTACCTCTTTCATTCTCTTATGACCCCCCTGGATTTTCTGGGACTCCTCGTTCCAGGTCTTCTTGTAAAAGACTGAAAAATCCACCCCAGGAGGCTGTCCACAGTGCTGAGTCATCCCATGGCCTGCTTTTGTGGTTTTCTTCTGATATCAGGGGCTGCCTGAGAAATAAACATGTATTTTAACATTATCTGTCTGTTGATGGATTTAGGAGGTAGAGAGGTATGTTTCACTAAAGCTTCTCTGACTTTCCAAAGAGCCTAAGAGATTTTTATCTGGTTTGTGATTCAACAACGATAGTTTAGATTATTTAAGAGGTTTTTTTCTAGTTCTTTGGAAGCCTGCTAATATGCACATAAGAAAGTGTTTTCTTATCCACTTATCCATGGGATCACTCAGACATCAATTAGGGTTTTCAAAAAGCACTGTTTTCGTATGTATTGGAAATAGTAATTCATCTCTTTTTTACTAAATTTTTCCTTCAACTGTGTTTCTTTCCTGACTATAGGGTACCAGTTGTTCATCTTAAAAATTCTTTGCTCCCGGCAATGCTGCCTGTTTTTCAGCAGCAGCAGCAGCAGCAGTTAAAATTTGGCCTAAAAGTCTCACAACATTTCTGCACATTAGATTAAACACTTGGTTTAAATTTTGAAAAGCCTGTGTATGTCTATCAGGGTCATCAGAGAACTTGCCTAAGTCCTACTTTATTGGTTTAATGTTACTGCAATGATAAGGAAATTTAAATTAGTTCCACCATGTTCATTGGGCATTTGCTATACAGGCAAGAGCAAAGTTGGAGGTTTCTTAAGGTAGCACAACCAGAGGAGTTTCTATATGGCTATTGGTAGCCCCAGATAAAGAAGGCAGATAGGGCACTCAGAAATAGCATCTGAGGGTTCTCCAGAGATTTCTCTCTCTGACTTTTGAAAATTATGTATTGTACACTTGCTTTGTATGGCTAATAAAAAGGCAAAGTAAATTCCACAATGCTTACAAAATTCACATTTTCTTTAAGGGCAAAAGAGCCTTAGTTGCCAGATAGTATTGAAACTATTCTTCTTTGAGAAGGCCCAGGCCTCCTCTTTGTAAAATGGCCACTTTGTTGTCAACAGAATATAAGCTGTTTTTTAAATGTATATGTATATGTATATGTATATGTATATTTACATTTATCTGTATTTTGAAATAGAGTCTCATTCTGTTGACCAAGCTTTAGTGCAATGGCACAATCTTGTCTCAGTGCAACATCTGCCTCGGGGGTTCAAGGGATTCTCCTGGCTCAGCTTCCTGAGTATCTTGGAGTAAAGACACCTGCCACCACATTCATCTAATTTTTGTATTTGTAGCAGAGATGGGATTTTACCATGCTGACCAGTCAATCTGCCCACCTTGCCCTCCCAAAGTGTTGGGACTACAGGTGTGAGCCACAACACCTGGCTTAAGCTTTTTTTTTTAATTTAGAGTCTCAGGGTTGATGGAATTCCAGTGTTTCCAAATGCATATCATTGGAATTCACTCTGCAGATGCATCGTTGCCATCTAGAAATGGAGGGGAGACAAGGTGTCCTTGAGACCTCTTCCTGTTTTGTTGTGATACAGGGTAAATAGAAATTGTTACGGTACCCTTCTTCTACTTCCTCTGTCTCGTCTGGGTCTGAAAATCTATCATACATGCTTCCCATAAATGAAACAACAACCTTTACTCAAGGATTTGGGGAGAGCTAATCTGCTTACTAGCCATGCTTACCTGCATGAAGCATCTACTCTGTTTTCAGGGAGATGTTATTTAGTAGTAGAATTTGTGCAAGACTTTTTAATGGAGAAAATGTCCTCCTACTAACTTGCTTTTCCTATGTGCCCAGAGAAACATCAGAATCTCAGAGAATGAGAGAGATTGACTTTCAAACATTTTAAATCCCAAATTAAGAAAATGGAGAATAGGTGCCTCAAAAGAGTGCAAAAGCTGAATGGCTGGTCCTTCATTAGATGGGGACAGCAAAGAGGTTAAAATCTGCCCTTCAACAGTGTCTTCCTCCCAACAGTTAAAGTGGAGGCTGCCTGCTTACAGATAGAACATGGGGCCTAATCACTGCTAGAGGAACATTGTTGGGAAAATAATTAGGAAACCATAAGTTTTGGACAATGACTTGCCAAGGCTTTCAATAGAAAAGAAATCTCACTTCACTAGGAGGTATTGTAAGGCTAGAAATGCTAGGTTAAAAATCCTGACTCCTGGCCAGACATGGTGGCTCACAACTGTAATCCCAGCACTTTGGGAGGTCAAGGCAGGTGAATCACCTGAGGACAAAAGTTTAAGACCAGCCTGGCCAACACGGTAAAAACCCATCTGTACTAAAAATACAAAAAAATCCAGGCATGGTGGTGGGCACCTTTAATCACAGCTACTCAGAAGGCTGAGGCAGGAGAACCACTTGAATCTGGGAGGTGGAGGTTGTAGTAAGCCAAGATCCCACCATTGCACTCCATCCTGGATGCCAAGAGCAAAAACTCCATCAAGAAAAAAAAAGAAAAAAGAAAGAAAGAACAATAATTCTGACTCCAAACTCACTTCAGCCAAAAGTTAGAAAGACAGTTCAGGGTTTGATCAGTTGTCTCCAGTGTATGCCCCCAATCAGGCAAAATTTAACTTGTCTCATGATATAACTGTTCTATGGAAAACCATAATATCTCTTAAAAATCCAAATTAAAAAAAGAGTATTCACTTTGGATGAAATATCCTCCCATACAGTGCCATAAAACTCTATCATTGTTGGACAGAAAGGCCCTTAATAGGTAAATATTTATACTGAATTCTTGAATTGCCCTTGTTTCAGGGAAATCACAAAAACAAACCTTTCTGAATTACATTCCTGCTTAAGTCATTGAGTGACTCTACTCAGCAAAATTTTATACCTAGGCTGTAAAAATGCCCAGAGCATTCCATACAAAAAATGGATAAAAGACATAATAGCTGTGAGAAGCAAAATGGTAAATTTAATAGACAAAAACTGGAAGTCCTTGTGCTAACAGCCTGATGAGCTGTTAGGGACTGGAACTAGTCTAAGGGCAATCAGATTACAGAGTTGTAACCTCAGTGAGAAACTTGCAGTTTCCCTAGGATCTCCTTTATGTCCCATGTGGTAGCCAGGCTCTTCATGAAAGAAAACTAGATTGAAAAAAAAACAAACACGTTTTTGAAATGAATGTAAAAGATTAAAGATCCATTCTTACCCTCTTATGAATTATTTGTTTCTCAGCCCATGCACCAATATATGTTGTAGTCCCACCAATGCACCAAGATTTAGTAGTATCCCTTCGTATGATATTATACCCAAAGATTTTTGTATTACATCCAAAAAAATTAAGAAGCTATGGCACCAAAGATGAGATTAAAACAAAAGAGAAGAGTAAAAGAAAAGCTCTCTCCTAGTAAAAAGAGAGGCCCAACTGCGTTTTCTACTATGAGGCTGGGTTTCAGGGTTATAATAAAGTGGGAAGAGAAAGAAATGTGCTTAGTCAGTGGGCTGTTTTGAAGAACATGTGATTCAGCTTGGCCCAGGGTCTTTGCCTGAGATTAATTAAAAAGCTTAGCCCAGGAGGCTTGCACAGAAATAATCAGGGACTGAAGTCATAATTTACAGTGGCTGTTCAGCTTATCCCATGACCTAACAGGAGCTGATGTGAAAGCTTGGCCCAAAAATTTGGCCCAGGCCTAATTAATAACTAAAATAATGATTCATAGAGGCCCAGCTCACAGTCCAAAAAGAAAAAATCAATGCCAACCAGAACCCACTCTGTTTATGTTTCCAAATGAAGAAGAAACTGCTTCCTGAGAGCCCACTGATTATAAAAAGGACAAGGATATTTTTATGCCAGGCCTAGTTTTCTTATTTGAATGAATCAGAATTTGTGAAAGATTTTTATCTGAATGGATTGAAGGTTCTTCTGCCTATAAACACACAGGTGCATCTCTAGGTACAACACCCATGTGTTAGTTATCTTATTGAAGTCTGCAACCTGATTTATTTTTCAGGCTGCTTAGTGTAGTATGTATAAATGATGCAGTGACCTCTAGGCTGGGGGTTTCCCAGGAACAATTCCTTGCTGTCCCCCTAAGTCAAGCTAGCTTTCTCCTCTCAGAAACATTCTAGAGAACCCCCTGAATGTGGCTAGTTCAGACTTACAATAGGGAACAAAAACAAGCATAGCAGAAAAAGAGAAAAGAAAAGAAAAGAAAAGAACAGAGACTCTAAAGACCACAATACAGGTCTATAAAATGTGGGTCCCTGAGGGCACCCGATAACTGTTATCAGTTTGGCAAGACAGGACACTTAACAAGAAATGCTGAGACAACAAAGGAAACCAACTTAACACTGTCCAACTTGTTGTGGTAACCACTGAAAGGAGTGCTGTTTCCAGAGGCATACATCAGTAGGCCCAGGATCAGTCTCACAAATGCTCTAGCAGGACTAATAATTCATAGATATCAATTCCTCAGCTCTAAGAGCTGCCATACTCCTCAAGGGCCATACTCCTTAGGAGCCTTGAGTGATTCTTGAGGTGGGAGGGAGGAAGGTAGAATTCCCTCTGGAAGCTGGAGCAAGTCTTTTTGTTCTCCTCTCCAATCTAGGTCTTCTATCCTTCCATTATGTGACAAATGATTGATGTGTCAGCAAAGAACTTTACCCAATATTTTCTCAGCTCACAGTTATAGTTGGAACGACCTTCTATTTACTCATGCCAATTTAGTCACTTCTGAAAGTCCCACTTTATTACTAGGTAGAGATATTCTGGCCTATACAGGAGGCATCATCTTAATGGCTCCAGGACAAATGCTTTGTCTCCCCTTAGTGGAAATCAATATTAACTAGGTAGAGATATTTCGGCCCATATAGAAGCCACTATCTTAATGGCTCCGGACAAAATCTTTTTCTCCCCTTAGCGGAAATCAGTATTAATGAAAAGGTGTGGGATAGCAAGAAAAAAATTACTGAACTACAGCCACTACATGCATCAATATTTACCTTAGGGATCCCACTATTCTTTCTAGCCAGGGGCAGTATTTCCCAAAGCCATAAGGTAGAAAAATGCTAGAAGACATTATAAATAAGCTATAGAAGAAAGACCTCCTTAGACCCCACATCAGTCTTTAAAAAACTGCAAATATTAGGAGAATATTAGGAGTAGAGAAACCCAATGAGGATTGGAGGCTAGTTAAGAACACTTGTCTCACTATTGAGGCAGTTTTTCCACTCTATCTGGTTGTTCTTAATTCTTGTACTTTTCTAACTCAAATTCCCAAGAGAACTGAATGGTTTAAAGTTTTAGACCTGAAGGATGCCTTTTTTATTTTTATCATTGCACCCTGGCTTCCAATACCTCTTTTCCTTTGAGAATCTGTCCAAACAGGATACACAGTTAACATGGAAAGTATTGCCACAGGGGTTTAAGAAAGCCTCCACCTGTTTTAGTAGACATTATCAAGAGACCTCTCTGAGTTCTCTCATCCTCAGGTTAAAGTTTTACAGTTTGACATTCTCCTCTGTGCCCCAACTGAGAAGGCTTCTCAATTATATAGCAAGCAGAGGTTATGAAGAATTACAATGTAAGCTCAGCTTTGTCAGACCTCAGTGAAGTACTTAGGCCTGGTCCTATCAGAAGAAACTAGAGCATTAGTCAAGGAGAAGATTTAGCCCATTTCCTCTTTTTCTTCTCCTCCATCTCTAAAACTAAGAGGATTTGGGGGCATTATCGATATTTGCAGATTGTGGATACCCATGTATGGTAAACTAGGTAACCCTTTATATCACGTTATAAAATAAACTCAAGCAGCTATAGCTAACTTTCTAATCTGGGCACTTGAAGCTCAAAATACCTTTAATCAGTTAAAACAAGCCTTACTCAAAGTACCTACCTTCAGTTTTCCCATAAATTAGACATTTAAATTTTATGCTTCACAAAAGAAATGGATGGCCTTGAGAGTTTCAACTCAGACCCATGATCCAGACAAGCAGTTGGTAAGTTACCTAAGCCAGGATCTCAACCTGCTGCCTGAAGAATAAACAGACTGCCTCCAAGCAGTTGAGTAGCACTGTTGGACATGCTGGTGTTGGAAGTTACAAAGTTAACGATGGGGAATAATTTTACTGTTTACACCCCACATAATTTAGGAGAATTGCTATCCTCTAAAGAATGTTTTTGGATAATAGAGAATCTTTTCCTAAAATATCAAGCTTTGCCGCTGAAAAATTTGTAGTTTGGTTAACAACCTGACTTTGCTTGAACCCAGGAAATTTCTTCACAGAAATAACTGAAGAACCTGAATATGATTGTGTTGGGAACAAGCCCCCCAAAATCTGGCCAAAAACTGGCCCCAAAACTGGCCACAGACAAAATCTCTGCAGCATTGTGACATGTTCATGATGGCCATAAAGCCCACTCTGGAAGTTTGTGGGTTTACAGGAATGAGGGCAAGGAATACCTCACCTGCCCAGTATGGAAAACCACTTAAAGGCATTCTTAAGTCACAAATAATAGCATGCATGATCTGTGCATTAAGGACATGCTCCTGCTGCATTTATCTAGCCCAACCTATTCCTTTAATTCTGCCCATCTGTATGTTTCCCATAAGGGAGACTTTTAGTTAATTTAATATCTATAGAAACAATGCTAATGACTGGCTTGCTCTTAATAAATATGTGGGTAAATCTTTGTTTGAGGCTCTCGGCTCTGAAGGCTGTGAGACCCCATTTCCCAAATCACACCTCTATATTTCTGTGTGTGTGTCCTTAATTCCTCTAGCACCACTGGGTGAGGGTTTCCCTGACTGAGCTGGTCTTGGCAAGTGGCGTCCATCATGGGGGCTTGAATCCAGGTTGAAGCATCACCAGAGTGATGGTTTGAGAAGGTGGAACTAGCTGGAGGACACCCGAGTACTCTTAAAACAATCCCCGTGGTGAGTAATAAGGGGAGCTCAGAAGCATCAGGGTAACAATGGGAGAAGTGTGAGGTGTGTTTCGTTCCACCTTGGAACTTTTTCATACTGATGGTGAGGAGGAAGGAGAATATAGGGAAGTAACAGAAGAGGTTACAGAGCATGTTTATTTGCCAGCTAAAGCTAAAGTGGCAAAGGAAGGAGAGGTTCATCCCTATACTTCTGCACACCCTCATTATTATTATGAAGAAAAAGACCCTCCATATCTTTCTTTTCTGGAGGACACTGGGCAAAAAGTATTTGCCACCATGACTGTTCAAGCAGCACCTTGAGTGACCACTCTTAGTTCTATTTAGGCAGGAATTCAACAAGCTAGATGGGAGGGTGATTTAGAAGCTTGGCAGTTCCCTGTTAGAATACACCACCGAGATCAACAGGGAAATGTTATAGCTACATTTGAGCCTTTTCCTTTCAAATTACTCAAATAATTTAAACAAGCTATAAATCAGTATGGACCAGGTTCTCCTTTTGTAATAGGACTGTTAAAGAATGTTGCTGTTTCCAGTCAGATGATTCCTACTGACTGAGATGCTCTTACTCGAGCTTGTCTAACTCCTGTTCAGTTCCTACAATTTAAAACTTGGTGGGCAGATGAAGCTTCCATTCAGGCTGCTCACAATGCCCATGCCCAACATTAAATTAATATAACTGCAGACCAACTTTGGGGGTTGGCGGCTGGGCTGATTCAGATGCACAACTGGTCATGCAGGATGATGACATAGAACAGCTTAGAGGAGTGTGCATTAGAGCTTGGGAAAAAAATCACTTCATGTGGAGAACAATATCCTTCCTTTAGTGCTATAAAACAGGGACCCAAAGAACACATACACTGATTTTATAGCTCTGTTACAGGAGTCTCTTAAAAAGATGACTGCAGATTTGGCTGCTCAGCATATAGTGTTGCAGTTATTAGCTTTCAGTAATGCTAATCCTGATTGCCAGGCTGCTCTGTGACCTATCACAGGGAAAGCACATTTAGTTGATTATATCAAGGCCTGTTATGGTATCAGAAGCAATCTGCATAAAGCTACTTTGTTGGCACAGGAAATGGCAGGACTGAGAGTGGATAAAGGAAATACTCCATTTCATGGAGCTTCTTTAAACTGTGGGAAGCATGGTCATACTAAAAAAGAATGTAGAAAAAATCAGCGAGTCAGGCCACAAGATAGGAGAAAAAAGAAAACTGCTGAGCATGAAATATGTCCAAAACATATAAAAGGACAACATTGTACTAATCAGTGTCACTCTAAGTTTGATAAAGAAGGGAACCCAATTTCAGGAAATGCCATGGGGTGCCCATCCCGGGCCCTGTTCTAAACTGGGGCATTTCTAGCTCAGGCTCTTCCCTCACCTCTGTATAATGTCTGTCCACTGCCACAGCTGGTAGTGCCCCAGTAGATTTATGCTGCACAAAAGCTGTGAGGCTTCTGCCTGGGGAACTGCCACAAAAGGTCCCAACAGGAGTCTGTGGACCCTTGCTAGCAGGGACAATAGGATTACTTCTAGGCAGCTCTTGTTTAAGTTTAAAAGGGGTATAAATACATACAGGAGTCATTGATTCAGATTATAATGGGGAAATTGAAATTGTTATATCTACTTCTGTTCCCTGAAAAGCAGAGCCAGGAGAGTGTATAGCACAGCTCTTGATTGTGCTGTATATGGGAATGGGAAAATGTGAAATTAAATGAACACAAGGACTTGGAAGCACAAATAAACAAGGCAAAGCACCTTATTGGGTAAATCAAATTACTGATAAACATCGTACCTGTGAAATAACTATTGAGGGAAAGAAATTTAAAGATGTGGTAGATACAGTAGTGGACATTTCAGTCATTTCTCTACAGCACTGGCCATCCAGATGGCCAATTCAACCCGCTCATTTTAACAGAGTTGGAGTTGGTAAAGCCCCTGAAGTATATCAAAGTAGTTCTATTTTGCTTTGTGAAGGGCCTGATGGACAACCTGGGACTATTCCACCAATTATAACTTTGGTACCTATAAATGTATGTGGAGGATATTTATTAAAACAATGGGGAGCACAAGTTCTAATTCCAGAACAATTATATAGCCCTCAAAGTCCACATATGGTGCATGAAATGGGGTATGTTCCTGGTATGAGACTATAAAAAAACTGCAAGGGTTGAAACAAAATCTTCAAGTGGAAAGACAAATTCTTGCCAAAGATTAGGAAACAATTTTTCATGGCGGCCATTGTTAAGCCTCCAGAAGCTATATCTTTAAAATGGTTAAGAGATAAGCCAATTTGGATAGAACAATGGCTGCTATATAAAGAGAAACTGGAGGCTCTAGAGAAATTAGTTACTGAACAATTAGAAAATGGGCACATAGCTCCAACATTTTCCCCTTGGAATTCTCCAGTTTTCATAATTAAGAAAAAATCAGGTAAATGGAGAATGTTAACTGACGTAAGAGCTATCAATTCAGTTATACAACCTATGGGAGCATTACAGCCAGGATTGCCTTCTCCTGCTATAATTCCAAAAAGAATTGGCCTTTAATAGTCATAGATTTAAAAGACTGTTTCTTAACTATCCCCTTAGCTGAGCATGACTGTGAATGGTTTGCATTTACAATTCCTGTGGTAAACAATCTGCAGCCTGCTAAGCGTTTTCATTGTTTTACAGATGGGCCTGGTAATGGTAAAGCTTCTTATTCTTGGTAGAAAAGTAAACTTTTTCAGAAGCCCTATACTTCAGCTCAAAAAGAGGAACTTGTAGCTGTAATTGAAGTATTTACTGCTTCTGATATGCCTATTAATGTGATTTCTGATTCTTCATAGGTATTTCATTCCACACAGTTAATTGAAAAGGCTCAGTTATGATTTGATACAGATGAACAAATGATGCCTTTATTTACCCAACTGCAAACAGCAGTTAGAAGTAGAATGCACCCTTTTTACATCACTCACACTAGGGCTATACACCTCTTACAGGACCTTTGACTGAAGGGAATCAAATGGCTAATCACCTCATTGCTAATGCAGTATCTAATTCTAGACACTTTCACAATTTAACCCATGTTAATGCCTTGTCTCAAATGCAGATACAGCATTACCTGGAAATAAGTTAAGCTATTATCCAGTGATGCCCAAGTTGCCAAATCGTACATTCATCATCTTTTATAGGAGGAGTTAATCATCGAAGATTGGAACCTAACTCTCTTTGGCAAATGAATATCACACTTGTTTCCTCATTTGGGAGACTAGCTTTTGTACATATATGTGTGTACACATTTTCTCACTTTTTCTGGGCTATGTGCAAATCAGGTGAGTCTTCTGACTGTGTTAAACATCAATTTTTGCAGTGTTTTGTGGTGATGGGCATTCCAGCTTCTACTAAAACAGTTAATGCCCCAGGCTGTACTATCCAAACTCTAGCTACATTTTTCTCTATGTGGAATACTAAACACATTACTGGTATCCCATACAATTCTCAAGGACAAGCCATAGTGGAAAGAATGAATCTTTCCCTAAAAACAGCAGTTGCAAAAGCAGAAAGGGGGAAATGGAGAATATGGAACCCCATAGATGCAACTGAATCTAGCATTATTAGCTTTAATTTTTTTGAGCCTGTCCAAAGGCCAGATGTTATCAGCAGCTGAACAGCATCTCCAGAAACCACCTGCAAAGACAGAAGCAGAACAACTGATTTGGTGGAGAGATACAATAACGAAATTGGGAAATAGGTAAAATAATAACTGGGGGTGGAGGTTATGCTTGTGTTTCTCCAGGCCAAAATCAACAACCAATTTGGACACCATGAAGACACCTGAAACCTTATCATGAGCCAGATGCCAAGGAAGAGACTCCGTGAGGATCCCGAGGATCCCCCAGTTGCAGCCACATCAAGGATGCCTCTGAGGAACACCCCAACTGTCATGAGCAACACCTGTTGAACACAGCCACTGACCTGGGGACAGATCAAGAAGGTGTCAAAGATGGCGGAAGAAAACCTGAGGAAAGCAGTACAACCAGTCACAATGAGTAATTTAATGGTAGCTATCATAGCAGTTATCACCACTGCTGTGAGTATTCCTTCAACAAAGGCTGACACAGAGAACAATTATGCTTATTGGGCATATTTATCAATCCTGTCTGGTAATAATGCCTGGATATAGTCACTCTATGCCACAGTTACACATGCCTTCTGATCTCAGTATTTTACATAATAAATCTGCCCCTATAATTGAGGCATACTGCCCTCAAAAACCTATTTGTAAAAAAATAGAACCTGGACAGAAATAATGAATGTAATTGTTTAGGAAAATTTCTTTGCAGAACAGGCAGAGGTGCTGCACAATGATTCCTATGGAATCATTATTGATTGATCCCCTAAGGGGATGTTTCTCTTGAATTGCACCTCTCAGTCTGCGTGCCATGGCCACATTATGTTCAGCTTGCCTGAACAAAATGGTAGGATGGTAGAAATGATAAGAAGTATGGCAAGAGTTCCTATTTTCTGGAACCATGGTGGTATAGTTACGCCTCAACCTCAAATGATATGGCCTGCTGTAGGAGCTAAACATAAGGATTTGTGGAAACCATTAATACCTCTTAATAAGATCAAAATTTGTGAAAGAATGAAAAAGCATATATTGCAAAATTAAAAGAACAAATATTTAAAGCATCCCAGGCACACCTGACCTTAATGTCAGGAACCGGAGTGCTTAAAGGAGCTGCAGACAGATTAGCAGCTGGTAACCCATTAAAATGGATCAAAACACTTGGAAGCTCTGTGATTTCAATAATGGTTGTGCTTTTAATCTGTGTTGTTTTTGTTTGTATAGTCTGTAGATGTGGATCCTGACTCCTGCAAGAAGTAGCTCACCATGACAAAGCTGCCTTTGCTTTTATCAATTTGAAAATTAAAGAAGGGAGCATGTTGAGAACAAGCCCCCCACAAATCTGGCCATAAACTGGACCCAAAACTGGCCATAAACAAAATCTCTCCAGCACTGATATGTGCATGATGGCCATAAAGCCAACACTGGAAAGTTATAGGTTTATGGGAATGAGGGCAAGGAACACCTTGCCTGCCCAGTGCAGAAAACCACTTAAAGGCATTGTTAAACACAAACAATAGCATTCATGATCTGTGCCTTAAGGACATGATCCTGCTGCAGTTAACTAGCTCAACCTATTCCTTCAATTTGGCCCATCCTTTCATTACCCATAAGGGATACTTTTTGTTAATTCGATATCTATAGAAATAATGCTAATGACTGGCTTGCTGTTAATAAATATGTGAGTAAATATCTGTTTGAGGCTCTCAGCTCTGAAGGCTGTGAGGCCTCTGATTTCCCACTTCACACCTCTTTATTTCTGTGTGTGTGTTTAATTCCACTACTGCCACTGGGTTAGGGTCTCACCAACTGAGCTGGTCTCAGCATGATTGTTAACAGAGAGTAGTGAAAACTTACACAGCCAGAGAGGACCTCAAAGAAACTCCCTTAGTAAATGTAGAAATGGAGCTTTTTCCTAAAACAAGAAACACCAAAGTTAGGGTATGCAGTAGTCCCTTTGAATTATATTACTGAGAATATGCCTCTCTTACCAGGCACCAGAGTTCAAATCACTGAGTTACTTGCCCTTGTGAGAACACTCAAATGAAGCAAAAAAAGAAAAAAGAAATGTTTATAATATTTATACTGGTTTTAAATATGCTTTTCTGATCATCTATGACCATGCCACTTTGTGGAAAGAAATACATTTTCTGACAGTCACTCATTAAGTATCATCAGGATATACATAGATTTTTCTCCTGTTTTTCTTTCATGGAAAGTAGTAGTACTACATTGTAGAAGACACAAGTAGGGGACTGATAAAGCAGCCAAGAAAAATAGATTGAGAAACCAGAGAGCCAAACAAACAAACAACAACAACAACAAAAAAAACAATTTTGCAATATACTGGAAGTCTCTCTTGTCTTAGAAAGCTTCATTAGAGAAATAAAGCCTCAGTATTCCCATGCAAAGATAGAATGGACCACTTTTGAAAGATACATTTTTCAGCACTCTAAATATTTATAATTGCATTATGAGCCTTCAGCCAGTGAAATGTTTTTAATGTCCTCCACCAAGTTTTGACTTATAAAACAACAAGAAAAAAAAACTACTGAAAAGAGTCAAACAGATTCTTAATACTTTTGAAACCTGCCTTAAAAATAATCTTCTTGGGCCAGGTGCAGTGGTTCATGCCTGTAACCCCAGCACTTTGGGAAGCCAAGGCGGGCAGATCACAAGGGCTGGAGATTGAGACCATCCTGGCTAACATGGTGAAAACTCATGTCTACTAAAAATACAAAAAAAAAAAAAAAAAATAGCTGGGCATGGTAGTATGTACCTGTAGTCCCAGTTATTCAGGAGGCTGAGGTAGGAGAATCACTTGAACCCAGGAGGCAGGAGTTGCAGTGAGCCCAGTTTGCATGACCGCACTCCAGCCTGGCAGACAGAGCATGACTTCATCTCAAAAATAATAATAATCTCAAAAGACAGTTTCTATCCCTGCTGCTCAATATCTGAAAAGCTATCTAGGGAAAGATTGAGAGAAGAACTTCATTTATATGACAGATAAAGTGTGCATTTATTACCTCCTGATATGTATTAAAAACCCACAAAATATTGCAGACTTGTGGTGAGTAAAGAATGTCACTTGCTAACAGGCCCAGGATTTTCATGTTTTTGGACCTCAAGAAGAGTAAAGTTTGCCCAACTCATAGGTATTTGAAAGTAAAACCCATAGTTGTTCTTGGCTTTAAGAGTGCTTATCAGAGTTTCCTCCTGAAGAACAGTTTCGTAAAAGCCAATTTAGAGAGACTATTTAAAAATAATTATTTTTGCTGCACTTTATGCAAATACTTAGGTTAAATATAAAATTATAGTTCATTTTACTATTTTCAACTCAGGCCTAACATACTTTGTTTATTTACAGTAATAAGAAATGAAGAGAGAAAAATTATGTTTAAATCTTTTCTTTTTTCTTTTTTTTGCGATGAAGTTTCACTCTTGTTTACCAGACTGGAGGGCCAATGGCACTATCTCGGCTCACCACAACCTCTGCCTCTTGAGTTCACATGATTCTCATGACTCAGCCTCCCAAGTAGCTGGGATTACAGGCATGTGACACCATGCCTGGATAACTTTGTATTTTTAGTAGAGACGGTGTTTCTATGTGTTGGTCAGGCTGATCTTGATCTTGAAGTGCTGGGATTACAGGTGTGAGCTACCTCAACTAGCCTACATGTTTCAAATCTTATCATATGTTTGCCATTATATTCTCATCTCATTAGTTGTCTTTAGCATTTGCCTATATTTTAGGCTATCCCTGTTGATCCCTGTGAGCCAGCCAGAAATCTCTAGCTGCAGCTAGGTTGAAAATATAAAAATATTAATATTGCAAAATATGTAAACATATATTTGTTATGGGCAATTACCCTACAAAGCTTGCCAGGTAATGAGAGTATATAGTTGACTCATAATTCAGGGGGTTTTTTGTTTTGGGGGACAAGACCAAGGAAGCTAAGCCAAGCCAAGCCCCATGCACCCAAAACTTGTTAAGCATATCTATAGCTATTAGTTATAAGGGCATGTCAGCAGCCTCAGAATTTTTAAGCTATCCTTTTCCTCACCTCGTCTCATTTTAACACTTTATATTTTGATAACCAAGATTGTTTCATCTCACATAGAGGCAATCAAACAAATTGTACTGCAAACGAAACCACTTATGTAAACACCGTGGTTTTGAAAAACCTTACCCTAACCTCAGTGTGAACTCCAGCTGTTGTATTTCCTTACAAGATGACCCTTCCTAGCAAAAAGTAGCTAGAAAGATCAATCCTCAATCTCCCTAACAGCAATTAGTGTTTTCACACCTGCAGGGGACAATGAGAGAGAAACTTAGTAGGTGTCATTGGTAAAACTTCTTTAAACAGAGATGCAGCCTAGAAATGTACAGCGTTTCCAATGTACAATCTTCCGTTGCCTTGGTAGATAACCCAGATCTTTGTAAGTATTGTAAAACTGTCTCTGAGCTTTGGCCATCATAGAAAGCAGGCATACAAAAGATAATGCCCCAAAGTCAGAGACACAAACCCTTGGTAAACCCTTAAATTCTACTTCTAAATGCCCTACCCGCACCTCTTTTATAGGCTTTCTAATGTCCATGTCATCAGTTTCTCTCCCTGTTCCACCCTGTAAACCATCAATTTCAATGTGGGCCCTGTAGAAAATGCCAAAAAAACGTGGTACTACTAGATTTCAAGTTCTCTTTTCATTGCAGGGCCTTAGAAAAATAAATGTAAATCTAGTCGAGTTCTCTGATGACTCTAATAGATATATAGAGGCATTCCAAAATCTAACACAGGTATTTCATTGTATGTGGAGACATGCTACGTTAATCCTAAACCAAAGCTGCAGAAAAATTGGCAGCTTTACTAGCAGCAAAAGCATTTGAAGATGAACAACATATTTACTATACCCAGCCTAAAAGTATAAAGGGAAAGAAATCTAGAAAAACGGATGGTGAAAGACAAAACTAAGGTGAACAGATAGCATAATCTTTATTCCCAACAGGAAAAAAGACAGTGCTCTTTGAAAACATAATTGGAATCCCCGTCATTTGATAGAGGAGTGGAAAAGAATAAAAATTTAGAATGCATGTACAGGAATGCTAGTAAAAGAACAGTGCCAAACCTCTTAATTACTCTAAGATAAACATAATAGATTAAAACTTGATGAGAATCCCTCAATCTTTATGGAAAGGCTGAGAGAGGGTGAGTAAAACGCACCTCTGTATTTTCTGACTCAGTTGAGCACCAGTTAATCTTAAGAAAGAAGTTTATTTTTCAGGCAGTCTTGATTTAAAAAAAAAAAAAGCTACAAAGCAGGTCACATGACCGGATAATGTACTAGTTTTAGCAGTGCAACAAGATGTAACAATTCTTTTTTGTTTTAGATATTGCTCAGAGCAACACATACACATATGTACTACTCAGTATATGTAAGTGTATATATACAGTCTGGTTTGTGTATATAGATATATGTATAAATACACATAGCATGTGTGTGTGTATATATATATATGTATATGCACACACACATATACACACACACACACACCTACACAGACACACAATTTAGAAGATTAAGGAGCATGAACACATGGGTAAAGTTTGAGGAAAACTTTAATATGCAAAAGAAGAGATCATTTCACCAGCAGAAATATGGGCCCACATGAGTTGCAAACTATGAGGCAAGTGTTTAAAATTTTTATAAACTGAAAAGAGAAAGGGATGTTCTTAGTTTGTCAGCTATCTTATACAATGTGTCTTAGCCTTGGTCTTGGACCAGTAAGAAAGCATAGCCTAAGACCTTGGTCTGGGACCAATAGGAGGCTGAAGTGATAATTCATAGAGACTGCTCAGGATAGCCCAAGAAGACTTAAAAATGCAAATGAAAGACTGGCTTGTGAGTTTGGCCCAGGATCAGTCAGGAGCTTAAGTGATAATTCTTAGAAGCTGGACTTATTGTCTGAACAATAACAACAACAAATAGAGCGAATGAGAACCCACTGAAGCTTGCTGAATTTATGCCTGTGAAAGGAGAATAAAATTTTCTCATTGTGGGTGTGGGGCACTGATTATACAAAGGACAAAAATATTCTATGCCACACCTCTTTCTTTCATCTGTGTAAGCCTGAGTTTTGTGCAAGTTTTTTTTTTTTTTTTTCCAGAATGGACTGGAGGTTCTTCCGTCTGTGTAGCTGCAGGAATATGTTCAGGCAGTAGCCACTGTGTTAGGTCCTGTATCAGTGGTTTCAGCTTAATTTCTTTTAAGGCTGATTGTTGTGTTATGTTTGGTTGAGGCACTGACATATCTGCTTGGGGCTCTCTGGAAACCCTTGCCTTGCTTTTTACCTAAGAGAAGCTAGCTAACTTTTCTCAGTCTCCCCTCAGAAATAAAGAACCTAACTGCTTTAGGGAGATTAAGTGTTGATCTTTCTGGCTACTCTCTGCTGCAGAGGGGTGTTTGTAAAAAACAGCAGTTAGAATTTATTTCAGACATTGTTTCAGAGTCCTCAGAAGATAGGTGATTTTATGTGTGGTCTTACTTGCATTATTACTATTTGGAGTTGACAGCCTCAAGGAAAAAAAATAGAGTTACTAAAGGACATGTATTGTAACAAGACAAGTTGGCTAAGGACAGCTTAAGTGTCCCAAGCCTGGTGACACACCCTTATAACTGATGGCTACAGTTATGCCTGCTAAGATTTAGGTATATGGAACTCAGCTTTAATTAAAAAAATACAAACAAGCCTCTGTATTATGGGAACCATATTTATTTTCATCAACTGGCAGGATTTGTAGGATTTTTGCCAAGAATTATATATAATATTGTAACAAATTTTTAAATTACTCATTACTTTCTGTTTACTTTGATCTAAAGTCAAAGATTATTAATTGGCTCATGGGATTCAGCAGGGTTAGTTTAAAATGTAGGCAACAACTTAAAAACAACTTATGAGAACTTATGAGACTATGCATTAATGACAGAAGTACAATAAGTTTTGAAACATATTATTTCTCTTCAGTTCATATTTTTGTAAAAAAATATCATGATAGAACTAAATTGTTTGGAAAATAGATGTCAGTCTTCCACTTGGCCTAGTTTTATAAAGTGCAGGCAAGAATAATTACCTTTACATTTTTTTTTCAATTGGCTTTCATGGAACTCCGTTCTGCAAGGAATCTCAGGAAGTTTTAAAGCTGAGACCAGCCATGAGCTTGTACCCTTAAATACTGAGCTGGGTAAACTCCTCTCTTATTGAGTTACCAAAAGCATGGGGTTGTTTTGAGGCTTTTGAGAAAGTGATATTCTCTACCTACCACAGGTTCAGAACCCTGAATGGGAATGGTGTAGACAAGGTTTAAAGCCATTTTTTTCCCTAAGGGACTTTACGTTGTTTATTGAAGTCAAGCTTTATTCTTTTTTTTTTCTTTCCAGAGGAAGTCTTGCTCTTGTCACCTAGGCTGGAATGCAATGGTGTGATCTCAGCTCACTGCAACCTCTGCCTCTCAGGTTCAAGTGATTATCCTGCCTCAGCCTCCCAAGTAGACGGGGTTACATGTGCTCACCACCACACCAGGCTAATTTTTTTTTTTTTGTATTTTTAGTAGAGATGGGGTTTCACCATGTTGGTCAGGCTGGTCTTGAACTACTGACCTCAGGCAATCCACCCCCGCCTTGGCCTCCCAAAGTGCTGGGATTACAGGTGTGAGCCACCATGCCCTGCCTCAAGCTTTATTCTTTAAAGAGAAACATATCCTTTCAGTCAAAGCCTCAGTAAAATAACCAGTTTTTTTCCAGTTTTGTTTTGTTAAAACAAATTTTTTTTTTGCACTGATGCAAACAACTATATTGCTGTAAGTTAAGAAAAGCAAAAATTAGTTACCAAGTATTAGAGAAAACAGGGAGGGAAAAATAAAATATTTTTATATTTTTTACAATAGTATACTTTAATCAGTTGTTGAACACTGTTGCCTGCACAAAAGAAAGTTCCCTTAACCCTGAAAAACAAAATACACAGAAATATTTGAAGTCAATGTTGAAAAAATGGCTTCAGTGTTTTTAGTCCATTTTCTTAAGCTTTTCATGAGTTTTGTTAATATCTAATTATAAACCTGCATTTGAGAGCAGCTGTTAAAGTCCTACAGCTAATTATAAACCATTTTTAGAAAAGGATTAAAACAATTGTCTGTAAATGACAGAATGCCTAAAGTGGTTACAGACACTCGTTGACAAAAAATGGCTATTTTTATGGTTTACAATGGCTAAACATAATAATTTTGATTAAGTTTGATAGCCTTTTTAGACCTTAGAACTTTGACACCGCATATGGCTACAAAACTTATGTTAATATTATTTACTAAAATGTAACCTGAAGAAAATTAAAATTAGCTTGGTAACCACATGTATTTAAACAACCTAAATGCATAAGGTTGTTAAATACTTTTAAAAATACATGTTAAAGACGTGTTTGAAATGGGAGCCCTCTGTAGCATTTAAAATCGAGGACTCAGAAAGGACAACTCTGTAACAAAAATTTGTTTTTGAAATGCCTGCCAAATATGTACGAAATTTAAAACATTTACTGTTATAAAATATAAAGATTATCATAAGTCATTTGTTTTGCCAAAATAAATTTAAAAATTTGAAGTGACAAAAAGCTACTGTTATTAGCCTTTATATTACATAAAAATCTTGTTCTAGAGTGGAAACAGATTTTACTGTTGCATTAGTCCACTATTAAATTTACCGCTATTCTTTTTTTTTTCCTTTGTTTGTTTGAGACAGAGGCTCACTCTATCACCCAGCTTGGGGTGGCACAGTCTCAGCTCACTGCAAGCTCCACCTCCCAGGTTCAGGCCATTCTCCTTCATCAGCCTCCATCTCTTGACCTCATGATCTGCCTGCCTCAGCCTCCCAAAGTGCTGGGATTACAGGCGTGAGCCACTGTGCCAGTCCAATTTACTGCTATTTTTAAATTAAACCTTATAGACAAATTTATCTTAATCAGTTTAACAACGAGGTGAGGTTTTCATAAACTTTTTAAAACCCTTTAACAACTCTTTACACATTTTGCTAAAGAGCAGATTAGCATCTCAAGAAAACCGCGCTGCACTTTTATTTCAATGCTTCACTTATAGAGTAACCATATAATATATCCCTTTTTATTTAATGTGTTCAGACAGCATTTTCTTTTGCAAGATTAACATGTACAGTTGTTCTTCCATCTGCTTAAATCTTTAGCTTTATGTGATTTGATTTAAGAGAAGTCTTTATCTCTAAGATAAATGAGCATTTACATGCCATTTTATAAATTTTACTATATTTTACTTTTCTTATACACCTTACATGAAAATTTAATTTTAGTAGTCTCAATCACATGTTATAATGGTAACATTTTGTAATTTTTCACTTGAATGTAAAACATGGTAAGTTGTTTTAATTGTGTGCTAAGTGCAGATAAAGGCTGACTCTCTCAGCTTACTTAGAGGTGTGATTACTTTTATATGTCCCCAGGCTATACCAATAGTGAAGCAGGCAAGCCTATGGTTTTCAAAGGACAAAGAAGTAGTTTACATCCTTCAAACAATTAGGAAACTTACATTTTTTACCTGCATAATATAGACCACATATTAACATCTGGAAGACATTTGCATTTTATCAATAATCTTGGAGGCTGTTTTTTTTTTTCAAACAGAGCCTCGCTGTGTTGCCAGGCTGGAGTGCAGTGGCATGATCTCAGCTCATTGCACTGCCTCAGCCTCCCAAGTAGCTAGAATTACAGGTGCCAACCACCATGCCTAGCTAATTTTTGTATTTTTAGGAGAGACAGGATTTCACCACCTTGGCCAGTCTGGACTTGAACTCCTGACCTCGTGATCCACCTGCCTTGGCCTCCTGAAGTTCTTTGATTACAGGTATGAGCCACCATGCCTGGCAGAGGGTGCTTTATTTTTAAAAAGTTAAAGTCACATGAACTGAAAGCTACCACAGCCTTTATTTTTCCTTTTCATAATATTTTGGTCAAGTGGCTATCTTTTCTTAAGCTAATGAATTAGAGATCTTTTAATAAAAATAATGTATACATAACCAAACAAACCAACAGAAAATATACTAGTTATACAATTTTTTGTTTTCCATTTTTCTCATCAGATTATTCACCTATGGAGGGGTGTGTGTGTGTGTGTGTGTGTGTGTGTTTTGAGATGGAGTCTTGCTCTGTCACTGAGGCTGGAGTACAATGGCAGAATCTTGGCTCATTGCAACCTCTGCCTCCTGGGCTCAATTAATTTTCCTGCCTCAGCCTCCCAAGTAGCTGAGACTACAGGCACCCACCCAGATAATTTTTGTATTTTTAGTACAGATGGGGTTTCACCATGTTGCCCAGCCTGGTCTTGAACTCCTGACCTTAAGTGATCTACTTGCCTTAGGATCCCAAAGTACTGGGGGTGAGGCCTTTTAAGGACAAGGTTACTAATGCAGTTATCAGGGCTTAATAAACAAGCATAGCTTTAAGAAAAACACAGATTATGAGAGGGGCTTATTCACCTCTTATTCCAGGGTCTTTATAAACTAAGAAGGGGAAGGAATGTGCTTATTCTGCAGGCTGTCTTGGAGAATGTGTGACTCACCTTGGCTTGGGAATTTGGCTTGAGATCAATCAGAAACCTTTCCCCAAAATGTTGGTCCAGTAGCAATCAGAGCTGATGTGATGATTACTGGAGGCTGTTCAGCTTGTCATAAAATCTATACGCAGCTAAAATGAAAGTTTGGCCCACAACTTTAAAGCAGCACAAATCAAGGGACGAAATACTTAATAGAAGACAAATCAGAATTAAGAAACAAACAAACAAACAAGCAAACAACAACAACAACAACAACAAAATAGTGACTGCCCGGAAACCACTGGATCCCACTGTGTTAATGTCCACAAACAGAAGAAATTCTTTTTATGGAGCCCATTGATTATGCAAAAGTCAAAGTCATTTTTATGTCAGGCCTAGTTCCCTTAGACGTGTGAGCCAGAGTTTCTGCAAGTTTTTATTTAAGTGGGTGAAAGATTCTCCTATCTTTGGAGCCATGGGTTTATCTGCAATAATAACTCCATGTACTAATTTTTGTTGGTGCCTGCAGCTTATTTTTCAAGACTGGTTTTACGTGTTGTTGAAAATAAGGCACTGACCCATTAGCTGGGATTTTATGGGAAACTTTCTTTTGCTGTTTATCTAGAGCAAATCAGCTAAATTCCTTCACTGTATGAATAAGTAAGGCCTGGATTGGAGAGGAGAACAAAATGATTCATTGCAATGTTTAGAAGAAAGTTTGCTTTTTTTTTTCCTCTAGCCACCCAAATTACTTGGGACTCCTAAATAGCAATGGTAGTTAGAGCCATTGAAGCTCAAAAATTGAGAACCAGCACAGATGAGTTCTGCCTGATCATCTGAAGACTGGTCCTGGATATGGTGACCTATGTCTCTAAACAAAGGGAGTCTTTCAGTGGTCTCCATCAAAAGCTGGACAGGGTTAAGACAGCTTCTTCCAAATGCCTGGACAAGGCTTTGTCAAGTGTTCCAGCTTGCCACACTGGTAGTAATTTGCAAGTGTATTTAGGGATTATAGATCAACTGTCCTATAAAGTGTCCACTAATGCCTCTTTTGTTCTCTTGTGCCTCTACTCATTTTCCTGGCCTCTTTCTCCTGTTTCTCATTGTGGCATACGGAGGAAGTAAATCCAAGAAGGTTTTCCATTGTACTCTCTGATTCTACAGACTACTTTGTAGTTTTCCCTAAAATTAACAGCTGCTTGACAAATAACTTTATCTTTTAAGATTATCTGTGTCTCAGTTGAATTAGAGAAATAAAAAGATGTGTTTCACTAAAGTTTTCTCAAACTTTCCAAAAAGGATGATAAATTTTTATCTTGTTTCTGATTCAACAAGAATGTTTTAGAGTAATTAAAATGTTTATTTCTGTTATTTGCAAGTCTTTTAATATGCACATTAAAAAGTGTTTTTTTTTTTTTTTCATTTACCTTAGCACCACTAGGGCTCCAATTCAGATTTTCAAAAATCATTGTTTCTCTTCCAATTGGAAATGGGGTCACAGTTTCTATTTTACTATTTTGTTTACTCTTGACTTTTTTTTTTAATTTGACTGGTTGCAGAATACTTCTTGTTCATTTCCAAATCTCTCTACTGCCTTTAGCACTGCCTGTTTCTTGACAAAAGTTAGGATATAGCTTTAAAGTAGTGTAGCACTACTACACATAAGATGAAACACTTGGGTTGATTTTTAGAAGCCTCATATACTTATTAAGGTCATCAGATAACTTCCTTAAGTCTTTTTTATTTAATTTATTTAAAGTTCTTTTGTGAGAAAAAAAAATTTGAACGTTAGTAGCATGAAGTTCATTGAGCATTTTCTGCCCCACTGAAGTTGTAAACTTTTTGGGTGACACAACTGAAGAAACTGATAATATGGGTGCTGGGGGTCTTTTATAAGCGAGGCAGATAGAGCACCCAAAAGTTGCATTTGAGAATTCCTCAAAAGTTTATAAATCTGCCATTTGTAGACTTGCTTTCAATGGTTACCAAGAAATCAGGTTCATTTTACAAAGCTTACAAAGATCTCAGTTGTCTGGAATAGCAAGTGAAGATGTTGTCATTGGATACCATTGAAATTATGTTTTTTCCAAGAAGTTCAGAACTCTTGCTTATAAAATGTCCAAGTCTTTGTGCAAAATGATATAAGCCACTTTTTTTCTCCAGAGTCTCAGAGTCAAAGAAGTTCTCATGTTAAAAAATAAACAGGGGAGTATAGACTGCATGCAGTTTTTTACCAGGTAGAAATAGAGAGGATATTTTCTAAACCCTTCAGTTGTAGTTGTGGAGACCTGGTATTTAAATATCCCAATTTAATTATTTTTGAAAGTTTCACTCTTCTACTAGGTAATTTTAGCTTATATGGACACCATCATTCTAACGGCTTCAGGACAAAGCTTTGTCTCCCCTTAGTTAAAACCAATGTTAATCCAGAGGTCTGGCCACATCAAGGAAAAATTTGCAGAGCTGCAACTGCTATACTTGTCCAGATTAGCCTTAAGAGTTTTATTTTATTTTTTTACCCTAGCGTTAGGCAATATCTTTTATAGACAAAAGGTAGAAAATGGCTGCCATCAGAGATAACCTAAAGGCCAAATACTTCCTTAAACTCTGCAACGTCTTAACAACACCCAAATATTAGAGGTACAGAAACACAGTGAAGAATGGAGGCTGGATCAGAACCTCTGTCTCATTAATAAGGCTGTTGAAAACCCAAAACATTAGTAAAGGAGAGAATTAATCCCATCTCCTTCTTTCCCATTCCCAAAACACTCAAACATCTAAAAGGATCATTGGACATTATAAGTTTTTGAGGATGATGGATACCAAGGTTTGGTGAAACAGCTATTTCTTTATATTATCTTATAAAAGAATCTCAAGCAGCTTCGGCTTTCTTCCTGACATAGGAAACTAAAACTCAAATACCTTAACCAGATCAAACAAACCTGACAAAAAGCACTGGCCCTCAGTGTACCCACAAATAAGTCATTGCATCTTTATGTCTTATAAAAGAGAAGGGATAGCTTAGGAGTTTTAACTCAAGCTTGAGATTTGGCCCAGCAACCACTAAGTTACATAAACATAGAGCTTGACTGGGTGGCTAAAGCATAGACAAGTTGCCTCCAAGCAGTTGTAGTGGTGGCCTTGCATGTACTGCAAGCCAGTAAGTTGAGCATGGGGAATGTTCTAACTGATTACACCGCACGTAATGTAGGGTGTCCTCTAAAGGAAGTCTCTGGATAACAGATAATCACCTTGTCAAAGATCAAACTTTGCTTCTAAGGAATCTACAGTTCCATTAAAAAACCCATAACCTATTCCCTTTCCTTTAAGAAGTAACCTGAACAACCTGAACATGACTGTAAACAGGTAGTAGTGAAAATCTGCGCAGCCAGAAAGAACCTAAAACTAATTTCTTTAGAAAAATTGTCTGAACTTTCTTTAGAGGGAAAAGTTATTTTGTAAAACAAAATACCTCTAAGGCAGTGTGTGCAATATTCACCCTGATTTATATTCTTGACAGCATGCCTCTCTGACAAAGCACAAGACTTATTAGCTATGTTCATTGTCTTTTAACCATTTAGAGAAAAAGGCAGTGGACACATACTGATTCTAGGTATGCTTCTTCTGGCTCTCTATGCCCATGCCACTATTTAGGAAAAAAAAAAGACATTTCCTGACTGCTAATGGGTCTTACATTAAATATCACCAGGAAATAGATTAGTGTCCTCAGTTTTTCTTTTTTCTTCTTTCTTTCTGGGAAGTAGCAGTAATATATTACAGAGGACACCAGAAAATGATTAATAAAATAGCCAAAAGCAAAAAAATAGGTTGCCAAGTCAGTAGCAAAAAGAGCCCAAGTTCCCAGAATATTTAAAGCCTTTCTTATTTGGGAAAGCATTATAGAAGAAATAAAGCCTCAGTATCTCCCTGAAAAGATAGAATGGGCTACTTCTGGAGAATCAATTTTTCAGACTGTTGTATGGTTACAAATGAAAGGCAGAAAACCCCACTTGTCAGCATCCAGTCAGTGGAAAGTTCTTAATGTCCTTCAGCAAACTTTTCACTTTACAAAGAACATAACTTATCAACTGATCCAGAGAATGTTCTCCAGTAAAAATCTACTGAAAATAGTCAAACAGTTTGTAAATGCATGTGAAATATACCTTAAAAATAATCCCCCCAACAGATAGCTTCTCCTCCCTCAAGCTCAAAAAAAAATGGAAAGAAACCTAGGGGAAGGTTGGCAGATAGACTTTACCCATACACCCAAAACATAGAAAACCCAGTATCTGCTGGTATAGGTAGACAGTATCCCTAACTGTATGGAGGCATTTTTATGTAGAAGAGAAAAATCCTTTGAGGTAGTAAAAGAAATATTTTAAAAAATAATTCTTTGCTCTGGCCTCCCTCAGTGCCTCCAAAACAACAATGGCTCCTCATTTAAAGCAACCATTACCCAGTGAATTTCAAGAGCTCTGGGCATAGAATATAATCTTCATTGTGCCTGGAGACCACAGTCTTCAGAAAAGGGGAAGAAAATAAATTATATCATCAAGAGATTCCTCAGGAAGCTTCCTCAAGAAACTCACCTCTTTTCAATTACTCTTTTTCATGGCCTTAGTGACAGTGAAGTACATCGCTACAAAGCTGGCTTTGAACTACTTTAAATTTATTATGTATGACCTTCTCTTAACATTGATATTTTAGTAGATGAGTGACTTCTGAATTTTTTAAACATATAAACTCCCTGACCCCACTTTCAAGAGGAATGAAAACATCATCAGAAGTACAACCCCAAAAATCCAAATCCCCCTGTATTCAACCCAGAAGAGTTGGTACTGGGGTAGACTCCTCCTCTTTCTCTCCTGTCCCTACACCCCAGTTGGGAGGGACCTAACACTATTCTTCTCCTTACTCCCTCAGCTGTGAAGATGGTGGAAATTGACTCGTATTTATTTCACTCGAGTGAAAGCCTGGAAACCAGTGAAAGCAGTCCCTGACAGTCTAGAAGTATTATAATAAAAATCAGATAAAAATTATCTAATACACAATACTTATAGAAATTACATTTCTTACTTTACCTCTTGCAGTGGGGTTATAAACTGAAGCACCTTCTGAGTAAAGCATCAAACAGAGAGTCTCAATTACCATAATATTTTACTTAATCATTATCATTATAGCAAAAATAGTAGTGACAAATAAAAAATAAACATGAAGATTTTGTTACTGTCAGGTTTACTAACATTCACTGTTAGACGTAGCACTGACATGCACCCCAAGGTCCCTACAATATTAGCCATTGCCCATCTATACAAGAAGACAAACTTCTAGTTTTGCCTTGAAAAATTTTATCAGATTTAAAACAGACGCTTTAATTATATGAACTCAATATATTAGTATTCTATTGGTTAGTTTCACCTTTAACAATTAAGCACTTGAGAGGGATGAATGGAATCTTGTATGGAATCACTTTTAACTCCATCCAGAAAGACATATTTCTCGAATGTAAGACTCAAACTCTTAGGCTAGGTGAAGTTGATAGAATAATAGCAAACAACTTTCTCTGCTTTAGAGGCAAAAGGAACCACACTTGGAGAATCTCAAATATGGCAACGCCATCTTGTAATTGCTGAGAGTGTGGAGATCTGGAGAGTAAAAGTGCAGGTGACCTCAAACCTTGGGAAAGACTATGAAAAAACATTAACAATCTAACCAGACTTTTCCTTTGGTATTTCTAGTAGAAATTATTACCCATAGGCAGAAATGCTGCCTCTTTCCAACATTATTATCAGATAATAAATAATACTTGTTTCCAACCAAATGTGCCCACAGATGGAATCCTGAACGCTTGTATAATATTTTATAATGGTGGCATCCTACATGTATGCAGGAGAACTGGAAACATCTAAACTAATAACCCCTGTAATGAGGATTACCAAAGATACTGGGCAGAACATGCTGTGTCTCTGATTTTCTGAAACTCCACCTGCCAAAAAGATTATTCCAAACCAGCAGGCAGAATTCCAAACAACACACTGAGTAACTGTACTGAATATGGACATTACACCTCCTCTTAGACATAGGAGGAGTAAACTTACAAGGTACAAACTAAATCTAGCAAGAACCCTCACAAATGACAACTTAGAACCATCTGTTTAGGAAATGGGGCTTTACCTTCTCTGTGGCCCCTGGCTACATTTAATCCTCCCTAGACACTAAACGGGAACAGGTACTATAATAATAGTGACCCTGGTATGTTATTTTTATATTTCACCAAAATGACACCATCATCTGGTGACATTTTCAGTCGAGACTCTTTTTCAGAGTAGATTCTCTTGCACACACAAAAATAAATCTCTTGTCTCTATGCCGTCACATGGAGTTTTGAGGGAGAGAATTGAGGAAAATATGCACATTATAATCCTATACTGTGAAAATTAAAATTGAAACATGCAAGATCAGGAGGCCTATTTGATTTCTCTGTATACTTTTCTTGAAACACTAGCCATTAGTATTTTCATCATAATGCAACAAGGGTGGAAGTCAACTGTAGAAGCCACAGATGCCCAATGCCAATTGGTAAATCTCCTAGCCTCAGAGATAATGAAGAATAATTAAACTCTGGATGCCTTTTTGGCCTGAGTAGAGAATGCCTATGCACTATTCAATGAGACATGCTGCTTCTGAATCAGCACTTTTAGTCAGGTAAAAATATAAAGAAATAAATACAAGTGCTAAATGACCTACTTAAAATCGTCAGTGGACTGAGAGAAAGTGAGGACTCTGTTCCCGTTGGCTACGATCTTTTCTTAATAGATTTAAGTCTTCTCTTTAGACCTAACTAGCTTCTTTGCTAAGACCTCTTTTCCTTGTATATGTGGTGTTAATGTTTGGACCATCTATACTCAATGGTATAACCAGAATTATGTCTTCTCATCTAGTGGCTATCAAGCTCCAAATGTTGATGTGTGGATTCACTTATCTACTGAGGACACTTATACCAGCCCCAGAAGAGACCCTAACTTCTGTAACTTAGATAATACTTATCTTTAGAAAAAAGGAACCAGAAATATTGTCACTCCATTTTTTTTTAATTGAGATAAAGTCTCGCCATGTCACCCATGCTGGAGTACAATGACATGATCTCACCTCACTGCAACCTCTGCCTCCTGGGTTCAAGCAATTCTCCTGCCCCAGCCTCCGGGGTAGCTAAGATTATAGGTGTGTGTACCACACCTGGCTAATTTTTTGTACCTTTAGTAGAGAAGGGGTTTCACCATGTTGGCCAGGCTGGTCTCAAACTCCTTAGCTCATGATCCACCCTCCTCAGCCTCCCAAAGTGATCGGATTACAGGCATAAGGCACTGCACCCAGCCCATCACTCCACTTTCCTAACAGCAGTTAGTGTCTCCATTCCTGAGAGAGAAAATAAGAGAGAAATGTTAAGCAGTTGTGGTGGATTATTGGTAAAATATCTGGAAGCAGAGAAAAAGCCTGATAAAATCAAGCTGCAGGCACTGATAAGAAAACTGGATCAAACATTGGCCCATTTATATGTTTTGTTTGCTTGTTTGTTTGTTTGTTTTTAAAAAAGGCCAAACATAGACACACCTTTCTTGTTTCTAAGAAAAGCCTGCAAGTACTCTGGTGAGAGAGCAAGGTTCGACATAAAAATTCCTGTGTTCTTTGTGCAGACAGTAGGCTTCCAGGAAAGAATCTATTCTTTGTCTGTGGGCATGTACACAGTTGGCTTCAGTGGGTTATGCTGGGCACTTTTCTTTCTATTTTTGAACATGCTTTTCACTGGGAGCTGAGTTTCTATGAATCATCACTTCAGCCTCTGATTGGTCTCAGGCTAAGATCTCAGGCCAAGGTTTAACTTTACCTCCTTTTTGGCCCTGGGCCAAGGTGCCAGGCAAATCTGAGTGGTCTCCATGAATAATCATTTCAGCTCCCGGTTAGTTCTGGGTCAAACTCTGAGAAAATCTTAGTCATTCTGTTTCAAACCAGTCATCACATTTCTTCTCCTCTGAGCTTATACAAACCTCCAACCCTGCCTCATAGTGGGTAATCTACCTGGGCCCCACTCTCCACTGCAGAGAGCTTATTAAACTTTTACTCAAATGATACCCTTTGTGTTCAAGATTTTTAATTTTTTGGATGTGAGAAAACAAAATAAAAACCTGGGTGATACCTTACAAAAAGAATCTTCTACATTGTGTGTGGTGAATTTGTGAGACTGCAAGAGTACTAAAATTTACTTTTTTTTCAGGAGTAAAGCCCTGTTTATCCTGGAGCTAGTAACATAATCATGCCCTTGTGCATGAGAATATAAATCTCTTTTGTTTCAGAGTCTCAGGATTAAAAGAATCCCAGTTCTTCAGTACACACTTGAGAAAAGTGCAATCTAAAGATGGTTTATTATCTGGAAAAGGAAAAAGCAGAGGCATTCCTCCCTCTTCTTCCTTCTTTTCAAAGTGACCCAGGGAGAAGAGAGTGATAGAAAGGGCATCCCGTTTCTCCACTTTCTTTACATCCTCTGGGTCACAGCAACCATTAGAGGTGGAGCCTATAAATGCAAGCATAATTTTCACCCATGTATCTGGAGGGGCTAGTCTACAGAAGTATCATCCTCACTTTTCTGAGGCTAGAACTCTTTACCCTTCTGCATTTTCTAGACTCACTTGGATCATAAATCCCCCAGGGTATTCTAAGTTTGTGGGAGAGACTATGCAGCAGTTGGATTTCAGTGAGATCTCTTAACGGAGAGAGTGTTTCTAACACCCATTTCTGCCTTCTGTAGCTATGGCTCTAGTCAAACTATGGATTTCCAAATAATGAGCCAATTGACTACTACCCATGTAATTCTCCTTTTTAGTTGTTAAAATGCCAATGTAACTCATTTTAGAAAAACTATCTTAATAACATAAAAATAGAATGACTATCTTTCCTCTAATGGGGACAGCAGTTAGGCCTGAATTTTTCACTTAAGGTTTTTTTTTTTTTTCTGGGTTATTGAAAAAGAATTTTTTCTGTGTGTAAGTGAGGCATGGAGCCTGATTTTGAAAAAAGGAACAAAGAAGAGAGAGGTATTAGGAGACTAGAGGGTTTGTACAAAGAGCTAATACAATGAACACATATGGAGAAATAAATCCCACTAGGTGGTGCTATAAGGTTTGAATGTTGGTAAAAACTGACTTCAATTTTTTTTTTTTCCAGGCAGAAGTTAGAAAAAGAGAATTAGGGCTTTGTAGGCTGTTCGCATAGTATGGCTTCTACTACAAGAAAACGATCTTAAAAACCATGGAATATTTTATTTCTCATTTTCCCCACAAGGCCTTTCTACTGGATCCCTGATGTTCATAAGTCAGAGGAAGGTTTTCACTTACCTCTGCTTCCAGCTGTCCCCCAGTGAGGTGATGGTGCTCAGTGTGTGCTGAGCAGAACGCAGGTCTCGTCCTCTAAAGCAGCCGATGTTGAACACGTGGGAGCCTCCATGGTCAGAAAAGGTGGCATCACCTGCACCCTGTGGTTGTCATGATGTGGGAACCATGCGCCCCCTCCTGGCTTACCTGTGGCACCAAATAAAGGCAGAGTTCAGATTGTTCAGTGCCATCATTTTGGAAATTCAAATGGAAATGGAACTTATTCTTGTGTGCGTGTGTGTGTGTGTGTGTGTGTGTGTGTGTGTGTTTTAATTATGAAAGAATCATTAACTGGAAACCACAGGAAATAAAATGAAAACGGTTGCAAACTTTCCAACTTATATAAAGTTTTCCTTAACATAGTCCTGAGATTTAAAATATAAAAATATACAAATTCTTAAAGAAAGTACAAAAAGAAAGGTATGTGACCTTGGGTTTGGTCATGAGTTTTAACATATGACATCAAAGTCGATTCATAACAGAAAAAATAATTAGCAATATAGACTTTCTCATATTAAAAGTTTATTCTCTGTGAAAAAATCTAGTTCAGGAAATAGACAAGCCATAGCCGAGAAGAAATATCTTCAAAATACAGAACTAAGTAATAACTTTAACTCAAAATATACAAAGATTCTTGAAGCTCAACAATAATATAGACTACCCAATTAAAATAGTAAAGAGCTGAGCAGATCACATCACCGATGAATATACACAGATGGCAAGCAAACAGAAACATGTACAACTTCATATATCATTAAGGGACTAAAAATTACCACAACGAGATGGTGTGGCCTATCTATATTTGTTAGAACTGCTAAACCGTTTTTAAACCATGGCAAATGAATTGCTGGAGGAAAAAACAGCATTTCATTCATGGCTGCTGGTACAGAAATTATGAAAAATACAGAAATTATGAAAAATTATGAGAAATCATGATGGTACAGAAATTATGAAAGATGGTGTTGAAAACCAGAATATGCCCCCCAATATATGACTATAGGAAACCAGAATATGCCACCACAAAATAAGCCTCTTGGGTATAAAAATCATTTTGAACCTATTATTTTAAGAAAATGCAGACACAAGAGAACTGAAAACAGAGCAGAACTTATCCATTTGTAAAGAAAATGCACATCTACTAAGGAAATCTTCATTTTAATGGAGTCTCCCTCTCAGTACCAATAAGAGAATGATGACTAAATCAATAGAGGCTCTTCTTAAACACTTCCAGAAGCACCCTCACAAATATACCCAGAAATGGTACTTTACCAGCTATGTGTGTTCCCTTAATCTTGTAAACTGAACATCTAAAATTTACAATCACAATTTTTATGCCTGATTTGTGGCTAAAATTTTAGAACTAAAGCTATAAGATATCTGTTTAGATCTATCTGTATATGTGTTTGCATATGTTTTCTATAGGTGATATTTTCAAATCTCTGGATGGCATTGCAAACAATTTCTAAAATCATTTAAAAGTGTTCTAAATTGGCTTCAAAAAAGTAAGATATTTTAAGTAAAATATTAACAAAACACTCAGAAAATATAGAAACTGATCCAAATGTTTTTCAAGTGCAGATTATTTTGATAAACCTCAGGTAAGTTGCACTATTTTAATAATTTTGACTTACTAAAACAAGTATGTTTTCAGAATTTTCACTATTAAATAATAAAACAGACATACATTTTTATACTGTTTTGTTACCTGTCAAATAAACTAATATTATATTCAGCAGATATTTAAAATCTTTAAAGTTATATTTGATTTTAATTAAGTTGTCATTATTATGACCAACATTATTGTAGTAATAATTATGTTTTACAGTATATCTAATAATTTATAAAATCTTTCTAGTGATTTGCTACCTTAAAGTTATGGTAAGTAAAAGATGTTTATTAAATTTCTAGAATGTTTATAAATGAGATAAAATGCTAAACTTTTCATTATTCAACATAAATTGAACCATATATATTTGTAGCTTCTTATTTTCACAGAGAGACTGAAGATATTTTGATCTATTTAAAAACATTATTTTCTGCAAGAATGAGACATTGCCTCATTATTATAGAGAAAACATATGCCTCTAGAAATTATGAGATGGTGTATTTATAAATTATCAATCTACTATGGAATGCTAGCATTTGATAAACAGTATGAAATGAGCAGTATACAAAATATACAAATAAGAAAATATGCTTAAACTTTCTTGGTTATATTTGTATTGGTAAAATATTATCTTTTCAAAAACTTTATGGAATTCCTGGAAATTTGTAAATGTCCTCCCTATCTATTATATGCCCTAGTATAATATCATGAGTCATAATTCTAGTTACTATTTTAAATTTTGTATGCCACAGAAGCAGACAAATTCCTGTTTAACTGTGATATAATGAGCTTTCATTACAGTTTTAACCATGGCCATTGTACACCTTTTGTAATGTACAGGTAGGTAGTATTTCAATCTCATGTTTTCCCAACAGGCTCTGCATCTGCATGGGCTACAGGTCAGAATGTTTGTCTTCAGCAAAGAACGTCCTTGAGACTGATAAAAACAACAATGATGGGTCCTCTGGATATAAAAATCTGATGTCAATGTTTAACTAACTTTAAGATTATAACACAGAACTGAGGAACAATATCTAGAGCTCTAGTTGACAAACTGATGGGTTCATGGCACTGCTAACCCAAGATTAAACAATATGGGAATTGATTACATGGCACTGCATGAATGGATAAAGAATGTGTAAAAATTTTACAGCTTTTTTTGATTTGGAAGATTCCTGGTTCTTTAACATTCTATGTCTCTGGATTTAAGAATTTTTTATTAAGTTAACCCTAACTCATAACAACTTAATAGATTATACTTTTGTAAACAGAAATGGAACATTTGTGAACCAAAAATGAAATTTTAAGCCCAACCTGCCCCAGCCATCTGAAAGGACCCCTCTTTTTGGCTAAGGGTATTCCAAAGTTCGTTCAGGTCCTAAGAGGAAGGAGGATCAGACATACTTCATTATACACTCCTACCTTTTGCAATTCAGAAAAAGTTAACCATCACTAACATCAACACAGACCTTAAGTCTGATAAGAAATATTTATAATCCTTTCTCTAGCTTCCTCTTCATGATAAAACTTTGGTTTCTACACCCTTTGTTATTTATTGTAACCCAGATATTTCTTTCTATTGATTCCATGTCTCTGGATAACTTAACTCTTTAAACCAACGGCCAATCAGAATGCACCACCACCCATTTTAAGTTGTCCCACTTTTGGGAAATAAACCAATGTATATCTTACATGTATTTGATTGATTTCTCATGTCTCCCTAAAATGTATAAAACTAGATTGTTCCCAGAACAGCTTGGGCACACGTTTTTCATAATCTCCTGAGAAGGGTTGTATCATGGGTGACTGGTCACTCTTATTTGACTGAGAGTAAATATCTTTAAATATTTTACAGAATTTGAGGGTTTTCATCAGGACATTTCTCTTTCATCTCTCTGCCCATTCCTCCAGAATTCTGAAACTCTTATAAAATGTTCTTATTTTCATGACAATATAGTTATTTGTAAAAGTTCAGTAAACATCTGTTCACCTTTTAACAGGACATATTTGAGAAATTTGTTCATATTATGCAGGCTTTCACTGGAAGTCACATTTGAACAATACAGGCTCATGGTCGAGTGCTAACTGACTTTTACTAGGTTCTGATTTTATTTAAAATTGTGAAGATTGAGAAAACAGAAGGGCCAATTTCTTTAATTAATATGCTATAATGTCAAAGTTTGATAGAGTTAGTATATCTCAGCTAAAGCAGGATGTCAATCTTTATAAAACAGCATTTTTGGTACCATAACAAATTCATTCTCAATTAAACTTTGACTGTCTAAACAAAAGAAAAATGGTTGCTAACGAGGTATACATCATATATTTAAACTTATATAATGATGTAAGTTCTAATATACACACTTAAAATTTTTTCTGGTTGGGCACAGTGGCTCACACCTGTAATCCCAGCACTTTTAGAGACCAAGGCGAGTGGATCACGAGGTCAGGAGATCCAGACAATCCTGGCTAACTCGATGAAACCACGTCTCTACTAAAAATGCAAAAAAAAAAAAAATTAGCCAGCATGGTGGTGGGTGCCTGCAGTCCGAGCTACTCAGGAGGCTGAGGCAGGAGAATGGCATGAACTGGGAGATGGAGCTTGCAGTGAGTGAAGATCACACAACTGCTTGCCAGCTTTGGGGACAGAATGAGACTCTGTCTCAAAAAAAAAATCTATATTGTTTCAACTACTTTAGCACTGTAAGAAAAATGAACCATGAAAGCATGAGTAAAATTGGTGATGGAGGGTGCAATGTGTCCCTGGCCTTGACCTGTCACGGTGGTGCTGCTTAATACCCCTCCTTTCTCTGTACCAGGATTTCTCCCCAGAAACAAGCCCAGATCATCTGTGAAGCACATGTTGGTGGCTGTGACAATGCAAGGTCACAGCCTCACTCAAGAAACACTTTTGTAACGTCAGAGTTGGAGGCCAGGGTTGTGGAAGTAAGGCCTAGGGCAGTGATCCCTCCTCAGTACTGGGTGCCACAGACAGAACACCTTTTCCTCAGCTTTCCTCACCTGGCAACCAGACTTCCCAATGTTGTGGCCTTTCCAGGGGAGAGGAGGTGTCATCCTCACCGTGGATGCAGACCCAGGTATCCCAAGTGCACTGAAGTCATGTCCTGGGTGGCATCTGAGTAGAAGGAAGGCCTGTTTGATGCCCCCAGGACGCTGCCCTGCAGTATGTTGCATGGGCTTCTTGCATCTTCTCCATGAGCCCTCAGTGGCAGCCATAAAGAATCTCTGAAATACAGGGAGGATGAATCCAGCCAGTAATCTCAGGAAGTGGAAGTGAAATAGAGTCTACCTTCCTGTGCCTTGATAGGAATGAAGACAAGAAGAAGCAAAGAAGATGGCCAATAGACCACACTCCATTGATTTCCTCTATATCAGCAATAATGGATAGGAATAATTGGAATTTGAAACATTTACACACCATTTACAATAGTACTCCCCAAACTGAATCAATTTGTAGGGATTCAATCAGGCTGGTGGAAAAATTTTAAAAATGGTTATAGATGCATACACAAACCTTCCTGGAAGGCCTGAAGGTTTTTACCAAAGTCTCAGGATAAGGTTATGGATGAAGGCAACCTAATCCTTTCATTGAGTAAACAGCTTAAAATGAGTACAAAGAAAGGTAGAGTAGGTTATCTAGCTAGCTTGTTTACCCATGTGATCTTAAAACTAACGTTTGATGTACCATGGGTCCTTAATTGCATTCTACTCAGGACGTCCCCATTGTCAATTACCCTCTAGTAGTGTTTACTAAGGATCTTTGTCAATTAATCTTTACATAATAAATGCGAGTCTCACTGAATGATCAAAGTCAAAGTCACAAGTGTTTACAGTACTCTCCAGGGAGCGTGTAAGCAGTTCAGACACAGCTGGACTGGCATAGCAGAATATCTGTTTGTCAATGTACTTCATTCATTCATCGCTAGGTCAGGGTCTGTGGGTCAGACCCCTGCATCTGGTGCTCCTGTGTGAGGAGCACTACCACAGTTGGTGCCCTTGTCTGAGGAACACTGTGAAGGGAATGTGATGGATCCCCCAAAAATGAAGGTGAAGAGGGACTGTACAGTCAAGTCAGTGAGTAATCAGTAAGTCATTGGTGCCCACTTGGGATTTCCAAATTCGGAGAGGATTGGTCCAGCTGAGGTTTCATCAGGAGACAGCAGTTATCAACTGAACAGAAACAGTAAATGAAAGTGTTGAAACAATTGCTTAAGGCTGGCAGAGCATCACTTTTGCCGGCTCAATTAAGGGACCAAATAATGCAAACTGTTGTAACCCAAAGCCCACGGTTCCTAGAAGAAGGAACTCTAGACATAGAACTCTGGGAACAAGTGGGGAAAAATCTTAAACAACATCAGAAGCAAAGGCAATGGTTCCCAGTAACAGCTTTAATACTACAGGCTTTAATTAGAGCAGGCTTTTTTCCGTTATACACAGAAGAGCCTAAAAAGGGGAAGCAGGAGAGAACGTGACCTGCCTTATCACTTCCTCTTCCCTCAGTGGCGGGCAAAAGCTGGCCAGCGGTGAAGGAAGTGGCACAAGTAAAAAGCCAACAAAGGAAAAAAAGCAGCACCTTTACAAGTGCAAAGCAGCCACCACTCAGGGACCCTCCTGGTCAGCTCTCTAGCCCTACAGGAGACACACCCACAGCAAAATATCTTGTTTCTTGTTTACAGGTGACATCCCAGATTATAATGCTCTACTAAGATGTACGTAAAATTTAACAATTTGAAAAACCTCTTTCTAATTGTGGCCACCGTTACCTCTCCTTACACCTAACATGATTCTCTCCAAATCCAATTTAAATAAAAAGTAACCTCTAAAGGGAGAGACATTACAATAGGACCATGGGTTAGTTAAGGAATAATTACAAGTGAACTTTCCTCCCCACTAGAATAGAGTTTCCTGATTGCAAAGTTATTCATCTTATCGGTGATATTCTACTAACAGCCCTTAATATTCCGCCATTTTTGTGATTCCCAAAAGTCTAGTAAATGCTTTACTGACAAAATAGTTCACTCCTCCACACCTAATGCTTTAACACTGTTTACACTTGGTTCCGATCAACATGGAAAGGCAGAAGTCTAGTAGATGCCACATAATTCACTCACTCAGTCTGAGTTTACTAGCAATCAGAGAGCTAAAGTTAAAACCTTAATATTGACTCTAAAAAGCTTTTACAGCCCTAAGTAAGTCCACTCTACACTCTACCCTATGTGCTCATTTTTTCTGTCTTCAGCAATGGTGAGACCAAAGTACACATCCTATTTTATCACACATATTTAAGTATACAGCTCTCTGCCTGGACCATTGTCTTATGGCAATAATCAAGCAGACCTTCAAGTTATGACATCACTGCTTGACCAAGTCACCCAATTGCATCAATTTTTCCACCAAAATTGGAGAAACTTATCTAAACAATTTAAACTTACCCAGACACTGGCTAAACACATTATCCTACAATGCCCAGCTTGCCAGCTTACAGGCACATTCCCTCCTTCAACAGGTGTTAACCCTAGAGGACTAGAACCTAATAAGTTATGGCAAACAGATGTACACACATCCTTGAATTAGGAAAAATAAGATATGTATATGTATCAGTTGACTCCAACACTCATTTAATTAGTCCACATACTCTGCCTGGAGAGTCAACTCAATATATCATTAAACATCTTATTTTAACTTTTGCATTTATGGAGTGACCCACAAAAATTAAGACTGATAATGGTATAGCTTATGCCAGCTCACAATTTCAACTATTTTGTCACACCTGGGATATCCAACATTCCACAGGTATCTCATATAACCCCCAAGGACAAGCAATAGTAGAACATGACAACTTCACTTTTAAAAATGTGCTCAAAAAACAAAAAAGAGGCAGAAGTGGTAAAGACCCTGCAACATTATTGGCAAAGACTTATTTATCCAACAGCTGTAGAAAAGCACTTTGCTAAAGCCTCTCAAGGCATAAAACCTGCAGTTTTATGGAAGGATGTAAACAGTAATGAATGGCGTGGTCCTAGTGAATTATTAACATGGAGAAGAAGGTATGCTTGTGTCCACACCCCTTCAGGTCCTCTTTGGATTCCAATACAAAGCATCAAACCATTCCATGGCAAGGCTAGGACTCAATCTGGTACCAGAAATGAAGGCATTAACCATGCAAGACCCACAGCCCCAGATGATGTGGCTTCCACAGAGGCCACAGGTCCTGGGCATTATGCTGAAGAAACAGAAGGCTAAGCAAATCCTGCTCTGGACACAGACACCATTCACTTCAGCTAATTTATTTCTTTTTATTCTCTCACTGTGCCTATTACCTGTACTTTCTACACTCTAATAAACCCATCTTCTAAATCTGACATTTTTCAGCCCTGTCATCTGGGGAGATACTCCATTTCCAGCTTCTAACAACATAACTGCTTGGCTGGAAGGAGTTAACAAACCCCCAGTGGAGTACCTTAGTAACAGCACTCATCAAACTGAAGTACCAGGTCACACTTTGACTGGAAAAGAATGTTGCTAATTGTACTCATGATTGTTTTGTGTTATTTTCCAATTTTAGGATGCAAAGCCAGAATAAGAGCAATGACTGCCTCGCCTGAAAAAAACTGTTCCTGCACACATCTACACTTTCCAATCAAAAGGACTTGATGAAAAAATGAAAAAGGGGGAGATGTAGGAATTTAATCAGGCTGGTGGGAAATATTTTAAACATAGTTATATAAATAAATGCAAACCTTCTTGGAAGGCCTGAAAGTTTTTACAAAAGTCTTAGGATAAGGTTACAGCTAAAGGCAATCTAATCCTTACCTTAAGTAAACAGCTTAAAGTGGGTACAAAGAAAGGCAGAGTAGTGTATCTGGCTAGCTTGTTTACCCAGATAAAGCAAACTTTTGATGTACCATGGGTGCTTAATTGCTTTCCACTCAGGAAGTCCACAGTGTCCGCTATCCTCAGTGTTTACTCCCTACCTTTGTCAATTAATCTTTACCAAATAAATGCAAGTCTCACTGACTGATTGAGGTGGAAGTCACAGGTGTTTACAGTACTCTCCAGGGAGTCTGTAAATGCCACATACACTCAGCTGGACTGGCAAAACAGAATAGTTTTGTGTCAGGGTACTTTATTCATCCATTGATGGGTCAGGGTCTGCACGTCAGACCCCAGCACCTGGTGAGGAGTGCTACCACATCCATTAAGTATAAATATAACAAAATAAGCAAAATTCATTTAGAAAACCATGAGTCACCATTGAGATAAATCAAAAGAAATATAAATAAATGCAGACAGGCCAGGCATGGTGGCACACGACTGTAATTACAACACTTCAGGAGGCTGATGCAGGCAGATCACTTGATTTCATGAGTTGGAGACCTGACTGGGCTACATGGTGAAACTGAGGAGGGAAATTAAAGATATAATGAAAAATAAAATTAAAAAGAAAAAGAAGTAAGCATTCCTGTATTAGGCTGACCTCTTCCACAGGCAGCAACAGTCACAGCTCAGACTCAAGAAAAGTCTTGATAAACACTATCTGAGATGCTCATACATGAAGAAATGTGCTCTGGATAGTCTCCTAGCACTCCCTCAAAACAGGGAGTAGAAAAACAAATTTTGCTTTGTTTTAGTGTATGAGTTTGTAGATTCTTGTTCTCTGTAGCTAGTAACTTCAAGTATTCTGTTTTATCAAAGAAGTACAGAGAACGTCACAGAAAGCCTGAGCAGACCTGAACTACAGCTGTCTGGGCATCATAGAGAAGGTTATAAGATAAACCAATGCAAGGTTCTTTAGAGCAAAACCTACCTAATAGATATCTGGGTTGCTTGGCAAGTGTCATGTGTAATTCTGAATTATGAACCTGTCTCAATTTTATAAATTGTTCTGCCTCTGTAACCTTGCTTTTGTGCCACTGTAACTGTAAGCCTGCTTCAAGCTAGCCTACCCCTTTTTTGAAGATGTGTATAAGTCAACTGCTGTCTTTGTTCTGGGCCCAGCTTTTTGGATGTTGAGTCCACTGAGTCTGAGTGCACTCAGTAAAAATCTTCCTGTACCCCAAGACCTCTCTGGGACTCCTCATTCCACAACAAAATCTCATCTCTACCAAAAATGCAAAAAAATAAGCCAAACATGGTGGTGCACACCTGTGGTCTCAGCTACTTCGGGCGCTTAGGTCACATAATCTCAGTGAGCTGAGATCATGCCACTACATTCCAACTTGGGTGACAAAGTGAGACTCTGTCTCAATAAATATAGGAAAGAGGTTTCTTGTTTAGAAGCAGTACACTAATTATTGTTTCTGCCAAATCCCAATCAAAATCCAGGCAAGGATATCAACAAACTCTTCCTAAAATTAGAATGAATGAAATAAGACTATAGAAGGACAAAGTTAAAAAACTTACACTTCTGGGTCAGAATACTTACACTAAGCTAGAGCAATAAAGTGTGGCATTGATGATTTAATAGACAAGTAGATAAGTGGAACAGAATTGGCAACCCCCAAACAGACCCAACTCAACAGATTTTGTCAATGGCACAAAGTATTCAATGGAAAAGATAAATCTGTTCCACAAGTGGCAACAGAACAACTGGAAACTAAATGAAAAAAATAAACATAAACACAAACTTCATAGTTTTCCTGAAAAAAATTACTCAAAAATATTCATACATTGACATTTTCTAAAGCAAATTTGTAAGAGAAGAAAATCTGCATATCCTTGGATTTGGTAATCAGTTATTGTCCAGTCTGTGAAAGAAACAAAAATTGGTAATGTAGCCTTTATTAAAATTTGAAATAGCCACTCCATAAAACACATTTTTAAAGTCAGGCATGGTGGCTCATATTTGTAATCCCAGCACTTTGGGAGGCTGAGGTGGGCAGATCACCTTAGGTCAGGAGTTCCACATCAGCATGGCCAACATGGTGAAACATTTTCTCTATTAAAATACAATAAAATTAGCTGGACATGGTGGCAGTCATGACATTCCAGTTACTCTTGAGGTAGAAGGAGGAGAATCCCTTGAACCTGAGAGCCAGAGGTTGCAGTGGGCTGAGATCACACCATTGCACTCCAGCCAAGGTGACAGGGCAAGACTCTGTCTAAAAAAAAAAAAAAAAGAAAGAAAAGGAATAGAATCCAAAGAGAACCAAAAAGCCACAGGCTGAAAAGTGACTTGTATGCAAAATATGAAAAGAAACTCTAAAACTGAAGACTATAACACAATTAAAAGGAAAAGACCTGAATAGATACCTCACTTAAGGAAGATAATGGAGATGGAAAACAGGCACACAAAACATTGCTCACTGATCTCCTGCTGCTTCTGCTGAAGGCTGAGGCTCCATGCTGTCCCCTAAAGAGCAGCAGTGGCTGCCAAAGCAGCAGTGGCTCCAAAGGCTATCCCCACATATCCCAGCTCTGCCCTTCCTCCAGGGCCCAAGAGTCCCCCAAGCACTGGTGATGCTCTCCTGAAATGAGCTGGAAGCTGAATGTTTTATTTCTCAGCTTTTCTTAATGTTCTGGAGGTTGCCAAGTATCCTTAGGTTGGAAGTTTTATTTTTATCCTAACAGCCTTGAGGCACTTACAAGTATTAGAAGGTTGGTTTTCAACCCACACTTGTCTCCATAAAGGGATAAAATAATTGGCTCAGCTGGGCACAGTGGCTCATGCCTGTAATCCAAGCACTTTGAAAGGCTGAGGAGGGTGGGTCACCCGTCAATTGTTTGAGACAACACTGGCCAATATAGGGAAACAGTGTCCCTACTAAAAATAAAATTAAAAAAAATAGCTGAATGTGGTGGTAGTCTCCTGTAAACTCAACTACTCAGGAGGCTGAGATAGGAGAATTGCATGAATCCAGGAGGCAGAGGTTGCAGTGAGCCAAGATTGCACCATTGTATTCCAGCCTGAGTGAGAGGGAAAAAAGTCCCACACAAACAGCTTGTACTAAAGAAATTCCTGTTGCTCCCTTAACACCAGTAAAATAATCACTTGACTGAAAGCGTTCTCTACATTAAGTTGCATCACACTAATTCACCACGTTGTCTCATTAGCTAGAGTTTACTATCTCCTTATAGTAACCATAAAATTAGAACAAATAGCAGGATAAATGACTATGTGTACTAGCATTTTTTTAAAAGTTTTTACTAGGTAGAGCTTAGAGTGCATATTCTTTAAACACTTTCTCTTTGGCACAGCACATGCATGCTTTTTGGCAGCAATCATAGAATAATGAACAAACAATAACAACCAAATAATGTTAAAAATCACTTGCTCTCAGGGGAAAGCCAATTAACAAACAGAGCACAGACCATCTATATTATGTCTAAAAATTTTTTAAATGCAATGAAAACGGTGAAAGGAACACTTGTTCTTTGCTGGTGGAATGCATAATTGTAAAGCAAAGTTAAAATGTGTTTTTTTCTTCAGCCACAGTTTTGGCAGTTTTTTTTTTTTTCAAAGCTAAACATAGTCTAACCATATAGGCTAACATTTGCACACTGATGTATTTAGACAACAACTTTGGAAACTCGCAATTAACCAGAAACCACGTGCAATTTTGTATACCTGCTCTCTTGATAATGGCCAAATACTTTAAGGAATCAGGATACCCTTAAATGATAACCAAGCCAGGTAAATCCATGAAATGGAATACTATTCATCAAGACAAAGGGATGATTTATGAGGTCATGCACAGCCGTGAATGCATCATACACGTATAAAGAAAAGCAGAAAAAGCCAGTCTGAAGAGACCACATATTGTATGATCCCATTTCCATGACATTATAGAGAAGAAATGTGTAGCGATGGCAAACTGACCTGTAATTTAAAGTGGTTTGTAGGTGGCAGGTAGTGAGCTGAGTAGGAGAACAGGCTGATGGAAAGAGGCACAAATGGGCCAGGTGGGAGTCAACTCCTCTGGCTGGTGCGATCATGCTGGGCATGTGGAAGAGCCAAGAGTATGTAGTACCAGCATGAATAAAAAGGCTCCTACTCATCCTAGAAGTGGAGCACCTTCTTTCTTCACACATAGAACTATCTTAGGAACAGTTCTGAGAAATATTTTGTTGTATGAGATAAAACATACATAACAAAATTTACCATTTCAAACATTTTAAGTGAGGATTTCAGTGAAATTAACTATTCTCAAGTTGTGCAACCATCACCACCATTTCACTTTCTCACCAGCAATGCACAAGAGTTCTACTTTTTCCACATACTCTCCAACTCTTCCTTTAAAAAAATAGACATTCCAATGTGTAAAACATGGTAATCTCATTGTGGTTTAGATATTTGTTTAGCTTATGGCTAGTGATGTTGAGCATCTTTTAATGTGCTTATTGATTCTGGTTTTGTCAATGATTGTATGAACAGAAGAAAAAGAAAAAGTAGATAGGCAGGTGGTTCACAAGATCAGGAGATTGAGACCATCCTGGCCAACATGATAAAACCCCGTCTCTACTAAAAATGCAAGAATTAGCAGGGTGTGGTAGTGCACACCCGTAGTCCCAGTTCTTCAGAAGGCTTTGACAGGAGTAACATTTGAACCCAAAAGGCAGAGGTTGCGGTAAGCTGAGATCACACCATTACACTCCAGCCTGGGTGACAAAACAAGACTCCACCAAAAAAAAAAAAAAAAAAAAAAGAGACAGAGAGAGAGAGGACTTGCAAGGGTTTTTCTCCAAAGATACACAAATAGCACATGAAAATATGTCCAACATCCTCACCTCAGGGAAACACAAGTCAAAGCCACAGGAAAACATCACTTCATATCCATTATAATTGCTATTATTAAGGAAAAGCTAACAAGGGTTAACATGAAAATGGAGAAATGTGAATGTAAAATTGTGCAGTTGCTGTGGAAAATAGTCTGGTGGTTCTTCAAAAAGCTAAACACAGAATTACCATAGAACCCAGCAAATCCACTCCCAGATATATACACAGAAGAACGTAAAATGGGTATTCAAACAAAAAACCTGTACACATATGTTCATAGCAGCATTATTCACAATAACTAAAAGTAGAAACAAACCAAATGTCTACCAACAAGTAATAGGAAAACAAAATTTAGTATTCCCATACAATGGCATAATATTCAGCTGTAAAAATATTGCAACTCTAACACTGCAATGTGGAGGAACTTCATAACCATTTTGGTTAAAGAAGGTGAACATAAATGGTCACATACTCTATGATTTCATTTATATAAATAGCCAGAATAAGTAAGTAGATAGAGACAAAAAGCAGATTACTGGTTGCTAGGGGTCAGAAAAAAAGGACAGATTAGGAAGTACCTCTTTAGTAGGTATGGGATTTCCTTTTGGGATAATAAAAATTGGAACTAAGAGGTGGTAGTTGCCCAGAAATGTGCATGTACTAAAGGTCACTGAATTATTCATGTAGAAAGTTAATTTTATGTTATGGAAATTTTACCTCAATAAAAAGACAAAATTCCTTTCCCAGCATTCTCCAACCATGGTGAGCTCTCTCCACGGGGTGCCATCACCTTGGGGTTCAAGTCCCTCCACAGTCGAGAATGGCCTGGAGCCTGGCCAACCCCATTCTGGACACATACTCCAGCCACACTGTCCACCAGCTCCTAGACCTGTTAACAGTGGAAGGTATCTGAGTTACTGGTGGCAAATCCATCCAGGTCTGTAGTAACTGCACTTCTTGCCTTCTTAGAAGAAAGAATTTGACTGAGGGGTATAAAGTAGTGAAAGATACTGAGGGAAGTTTCATAGCAGGAGTGGACATTTATTAAAAAGCAATCTCTGAAAGTCATACACTGAGGGTTTGTCTCTTAATGTGCATGCCTGAGCTCACTTGCCCAATAACTGAGATTTTATTGGAAGCCCTTTTTCCTTCTCCCCGGTTCCTGCATTTAATTAACACTTTAATGTTAACAGCTGTGGATCAGTAGAAGCTTGTATCTCTCTGGCTCCAGCTGCTAAATTATCATTTTTAGAGAGGCAATATGAAAACTGTCCAACCATCACCCAATGACCTGACATTCCTGGTGGGTGGGTGGGATGGGAGAAACCTCTGCTCCCCCACTCATTCCTGTGTAACTACCTGTAACAGACCAACTAACTGGCCATTTCCAACTCCAGGTCACTTTCCATTTGCTACCTTCACAGACATCCAGTGATCAGTGATACCTCCTCAGAGTTTACAAGGTCTTCTGAATCTTGTTCTGCTGTAATCCAGACCTCAGCACATAATATCCATGGTTTGTCCCATTTCGATAAAGGTAAATTAGCTTTTTCTGAGCACCACCACACACAGCTGTCTTGCTCAGGTGAACTAACAGCAACTCTGCAAGAAATGGGTAGTCCCTTGTGCAAAGGGACAGCCAGGATCAGGTGACTGAGTGACTTACCTGCAATCACACAGAGTCCAAGTGGCCTCATACTCAGTTTCCAGCCCACAGCCAGGTCTCCAGGTGTTGTTTAGAAAAAGCTTGTGAGTCACATGAACATGCAACCAGGACACACCCAGACTTCCTTTTATCAACAAAGATGAGCTCTATCTTCTGGGACAATGGATGACAAGACCCACCAAGTCTTCTTTCTCCCATCCAGAGCCAAGGTAGGTATTTGACACTCATTAGGTAACAGACTCTTTTCCTAAAACCCTTTCATAGATAGGGTTTTTGGAGGAGATTGTGTTACATACAGGCCAGAGAATGCAAGTTTAGAGAGGGCATCACAGCCAGCACATAGAGAAAAAGCTGGTGATTTCAAATGTAAAGAAAGGACAGTATGCTGAAAAGTTACTGCACTGAAGTGTGAACGAGACAAGAGGTTATTATGACTAAAGTAGGGGAAGCAGGAGGGAAAGGAGGGAATAGATTAAACACTTAGGACAAGAATCAGTGGTTCCTTATTGAGGTCAGTTCATACCTACCAGGACATGATGTGGCCACTGTACTCACAAAGTGAACCATGAGAAATGAAGACAAGTTCACAGGCTACATACATAAAAAATGTTCACAGCAGCCCCACGTATACTAGACCCAACTGAGAGCCCCAAATGCTCATCCACAGGAGAAGGGTGAAGAAGCTGTGGCGTATCCACACCCTGGAATGTGGCTCAGTGTGCAAAGGAATGGATTGCTTATGCACTCACCACAGGGTGACTCTCAAAGCAGCAGGGCTGAATAAAAGGAGCCAAATCAGAACAAAACACAAAGACCCAAGGACTTAGCATATCTACATGAAACTATAAAATTCAGCTAAATTTTAGTAACAGAAGCAGATCTGTGGTCCAAGGGTGGCCAGGCAGAGATCAGTATGGGTAAGAGGAGAATATGTCTTCGTGAGCTTCATCAAGGTGTGGCCTTGCAGTGGATGGAATACTCCCATGGAGAAAACCATTACTTCTTCTATTTGAGGGACTTCTCCCCCTCAAATCATATGTCTCCTATAATTCTGCCCTCACTGGGAGACTGACTTGAGCCAACCTGGTCTCAGCTCCTACACAACGGAGACCCCCATACCCTGGGAACCTGGTTCTGCTGGCCCATAATAAACACTGGTCTTGAGGGAGAAGCACAGCTCACGTGTGCTACAAGCAAGACTGTAAAGTACAGAAGTGGACACAGCATTCAGCCCAGTGGTCCCAGGCCACATGAACCAGGCTAAGCATTCATGGGTCTCAGCCATCCTCTGTGAGAAAAGTAACTGTCACAACCGTCCATATCAAAAGCTTTTCCAGTATTCCAGAGGCAGTACCCAGTTTCCCAGGACCTCTCCTAACCCTAAACCTAACTGTAACAATAACCTTAACCCAACCCCTACCCCTAAACCTAACCCAAAAACCCTAAATCTAACAGCAAGCCTAAACTCCAACCTCAACCCCAACATCAACACTATGCCTAAATTTACTTAATGCCTAACCCCTCAAACAAACCAAAAACCAAAACCCAACCCCAACCCTAAATCCTAATGCTAACCCCTGAACCTGACCCTGACCCTGATAATAACCATAACCCAGCAGCAACCCAATCACACCATGAACTGAACCCAAAACGCAACCATAAACCCAAAACCCTAACCCCAAAAAACTAACCCTAACCATAAAACAATAACTAACCCATCTCTACCAATACTCCCTTAAAACCTAATACTAGCACTAAAATCCTACCCCTAACACTAACCATAACCCCTAACACCTAATTCTAACCCTAGCCACTAAACCTGAATCCTGAACCTGACTCTAACCTAAGACTGACACTAACCTATAATGCTAACCCTAACTCCCTAATTCTAGCCCTAATCATTACCCTAAACCTACACTTACACCAACCTCAACCCCAAAGCCAAACATAACCCTGTTACCTAAACCCAATCCATAACATTAGCACTAATCCTTAGACCAACCCTAAACCTAAACCTAAAACTAACCCCTAGCCCTGAGCCGAACCACTAACAATGACTTTGACCCTAATGTGTTACCCAAATATCTACCCTAACGATAAACCTAACACTAACCCTAACCAATAATCCTAACCCTAACTGTAATCATATTGAACATAACCTTAACCCCTTAACCTAAATCTAAACACTAACAATAACCAAAATCGTAAAGCCTAACCCCACAACCATCCTATCTCTAACAATAACCTTATACAATAATTCTAAACTTAACCCTAATCCTAACCCCAGGCTCTCACCATAAACCAAGACCCAGAACCCCAAACTCAATAAAAGCCCAAACACTAACAATAAGCCCAAACCCTAACACTAAACCCTGAGACTAATCCTAACTCCTAGAACTAACCCTAATCTTAAACCCTAACCAAAACCATCTAACCCTAACAATAACCCTAAACCTACAACTTACCATAATCGATAACCTAATCCTAACCCTTACCCTAAATACTAATCCTAATGCCTAACCCTAATCCTAACCTTGAAACCCTAACCCCAAACAAAGCCATAATCCTTAAATGAAACTCTAACTATAAAACCCTAAAACACTAAACATAACCCTGACCCCAACACATAAGCCTAACAGTAACCTTAACCGTAATTGCAAAACCATAAAAACTGAACCCTAACACTAAAACTAAACTAAGTCTAAACCTAACCATAAAATAAAACCTAAGGCATGACCCAAATCCTAAAGCCTGAAAACTAACCATAACCCTAACCCTAAAACATAAAGGCTAACCATAACTCTTAACCCTCATCCTAACCACCAAATCCAACCCTAGCCCCTAACACTAATCCTATCACAAATGCTAATCCCTAACACTAATCCTAAACTCTAATGCTCATCATGAATCATAACTCTAATCTGTAACCTAAATTTCAACCTTAAATCCTAACCCTAAGCCTACACCTTAACCCAACACTAACTGTAACCCCTATCCTTAATCCAACCCTAACACTAACCCTAAATTTTAACCCTGACAGTAAGCCTAAAACTAACCCTAATCCCAAACATAACCCTTACCCCAATGCTAACCCTGATACCCTAACTTTAACCCTACACCTACACCAACACCAATCCCAATCATAAACCTAAACCATACCCTCCCTTAAACACAGGACAAACCCTAACCCCTAACCCTAATATTAAAAATTAAACCCAAGTTTTACCCCAGCCCCAACACTAGCCCAAATCTTAACCCATAACCACAACCCTAACAATAGCCAAACAAAAACAAAAAGCCCAAAACCAACCAAAACACTAATACTAAACCCCAACCCTAACCCTAACCCCTGATCCAAACCCTAAACCCTAATACTAAACCAAACACGTAACCACAACGCTAAAACTGAACCTAAGGTTTATCCTAAACATAAGAATTATTCTGAATCCTAAACCTAAGATTAACCCTAAGACAATAACCCAAAACCTAACTCTAATGCCTAAACCTAACTTTAATTCTAACTGTAAAATACAAAATCTGAAAACACTAAAAATAACTTTAACTGCATCCCCTAATGCTTACACTAATAATAACCAAAAACCCCTAATCTTAACACTAATACTAACATAATCCTAACATAATCTTAACCCTAGCAATAAAACCAAACCATAACTCTTGCACAGAACATTAAACCAAAACTGTAATATTTACCCTAACCCCTAAGCCAACCCCTACCCCTAAACCTAGACCAAAACCCTAATCCAAACTAACCCTAAACCATAAACCTAACCTTAATCTTTGCCCCAACCCTAGAAATACCTTAATGCTAACCCTAACTGTAAATGCTAATCGCTAACCCTAACACTTAACTGACCCCTAAACCATAAACCCTAACCCTACTCCTAAACTCTAAACCCAACCCTAATATAATGCTAACCATGACAACTAACCCTAACCCTATCCCAGCCCTAACAGTCATGCCAGCCCTAAATCCAAAACCTTAACCATATTCCTAACAGTAAAACTTACAACTAACCATAACCATAAACATAAATGCTAAATGCTAACCCTAACACTAAGCTTAAACCCCAATCCTCAGCTCCGAACCTGAACCTAAATGTAACCCTAAACAGTAATCCTAATGGTAAATTCTAACCCTAAACCTTAACCAAACACTAACCCTAACACAATCCCTTTAACACTTACCCTCAACATAAAGCTTAACACTAACCCTAATCCAGGCCATGACCCTAATGCCTAACACCCTTCTGTATGCCTACCTTTTTACCTTAACCCTAAGCATAACCCAATCCCAAACCTAACTTCTAACACTGATTCTAACACCTAACTCTAATCCTTAACCCTGATCCTAACTCTAACTCTAAAGCTAATCCTACCACAGTAGTAACCCCTATCCCAACCCCAGCCCTACCAGAGAATCTAATCCTAAACTTTGTTCTGCAATTGTAAACCCGTATCCCTATTTCCCAAAATCTTCTTCTTCTTCTTCCTCTTCTTCTTCTTCTTCTTCTTCTTCTTCTTCTTCTTCTTCTTCTTCTTCTTCTTCCTCTTCCTCTTCCTCTTCCTCTTCTTCTCTTTTTTTGAGATGGAGTCTCCCTCTGTTGCCAGGTTGGAGTGCTGTGGCATGACCTCAGCTTATTGCAACCTCTGCTTCTTGGGTTCAAATGATTATCCTGCCTCAGCCTCCTGAGTAGCTGGGAATACAGGCACGTGTCATCAACCCCAGCTAATTGTTTTCTTGTATTTTGAGTAGAGACGGGTTTCACCATGTTTGCCAAAATTGTTTTGATCTCTTGACCTCGTGAACTGCCCACCTTGGCCTTCCAAAGTGCTGGGATTACGGACATGAGCCACTGAGCCCAACTTAATCCCCAAATTCTATCCTATCCTTAATATTTCCCCATCGTGCTTCAGAAAATATTAAATACCTCCTCTATGACTCAAACCTCTGACCCGTAATACCCATGATATTACACCAAACCATATATTTTCTAACCCCAATTGTGTATTGAATTAAATATATGGTATCAGTAGGATAAAAAACTAAATGTTATTAAATTTGATAATTATAGGCATCATAATATTTAATCAAATAATAGTACATGGAATTTGGTACATAGTGAAAAACATTATACACCACAATTATTAAGTTCTTTTTTCAGCCAATCAAGGGTTTCTCACCATTCTAAACCCATCCCTTTCGATATACTATGTAAAGTAACTGACGGAAAAACATCACATTTGTCTCAACTGTTACAGAAAGTACATAAAGATAGTCAAAATATTTTAATGATAACAAAATCCGATAAACAGTGTTCCAAATTTTTTCACATAATAAAACGTCTTTATGCAAAACCCATAACAATCATCATCTAAATTGTTGGGAAGCAAAGCTTTTAGATGAGGAACAGCACTAATGCTCACTTACATCACTGCATTCAATACTGTACTAGACATTCCACTAGAACAATTTGAAAAGAAAAATATATACAAAACCACTCATATGCGTAAAAAAGAAGTAAAACTACTCACAGATCTCATACACAGAAAACCAGGAGGAACCAACAAGAAATTATAAAATCTAGTGAACAAATTAAGCAAGCAAACAAAACAAAATATCAACACAAAAAATCTTTCTCTATACACTATAAATTAGCCACGTGAAAATGAAATTTGGACAATTTTATTTCTAAAAAAATAACAGGCCAGAATTTCTCCAACTGCCCTGGAACACACAGATGCAGGCAGCTGGGGGTGGGGGAAATCCTTCGAGTGGAGGCTGTGCTGCTACACTGGGACCTGCCTGCAGTGGCTGTGGGGCTAAACAGAAACCTTTCAAGCTCCTGGGAAATCAGAGTAAAATTACTTAAAACCATAATGGATGAAGAAGAGAAAACCTACAGTGTTTGTGAAAGCTCTAATACCATGATGTCAAATGGATACCTTCTGAGTCCTGAATTTCTTGTAAAAATAAGAACAGCACAAACATCAGCAACAATGAAACCCTTGTTGACTGGCCCAGATCATTTTGCTGAGAAAGGCACTATTGAGGTCAATTTGAGAGACAACCCTTCACAAGTGCTTCCAAAAGCATGCAAATATTTTACCTACATATTTCACTACACCTACAGTTCCACAGAGATTCCTAAATTCCCATTTCACCTGAAACTGCAGAACTGCTGACAGCTGTGAACTTTCTAGATTCTATATAAATACAATGGATTGTATATAAATACAATAGATTGATATGACAAAATAAATTATAATCAACTGGTAACTCTTTTCAGTGTTTAAGACCTGTAGTTGAGTTTGTATTTTTTCATAGATAGTACATACCTTGTATGCAACGTAACTGTAAAAGTAATCACAAAGAAGATTGCCTTCTGTTTTTTGCATAATAGAGTTTAAATTTGTTTACAATGTCAGCAATTTAAGGAGATTTTCACAAACTGAGAAATAAACAAATATCCCAATTCATAGGTCGTTTTGCCTTATCCATTGGATATGGCTTTTGAAATCAACAATGATGACATAAAAATGCTGAAAATTAGAAATAAATGAACCTGTTCTACAATTAAATAATGGGGCTAGGTGTTTTGATATTTTTAGTGTTTTTTTAAATAACAATATTTTGATTTTGTACGTGCCCATAGCATTGCTGGAGTTATGCAAATAATTACATTATAAGTATGTGTATCACTTAGCAAAAAAATTGTTTTTTTTAACTGACCCTAACTTAATAAACGTTTTATCAATGTCTATAATCCCAGAATTTTGGGAGTTCAAGGTTGGCAGATGAATTGAGCTCAGGCATTTAAATGAGCCCAGCCAACAGGGTACATCTTTTTCTCTACAAAAGATAAAAATGGGCCAGGTCGGTGGCTGAGGCTAAAGCAGAAGGATCAATTGAGCCCAGGAGTAAGAGTCTGCAGTGAGCCATGATGGCACCACTGCATCCAGCCTGGGGAACAGAGTGAGACCCTGTCTCAAAAAACAAACAAACAACCACAGAAACAAACAGTATAAGAGTTAAAATTTCTTACGTCCCTGGAAAAACTTCAGTATTGTTTAAATGTGTCTTGTCTTGTCATTATTTTTATTGCTACAATTTAAGAACTTTAAAGACAATTTGGGAAGCTTACCAGGTACGAATTTTGGAGAAGCACTTGAACTTTACCCAGATGGTCCAGAAGTCAACTATACAACTTAGAGCTCTTGTGCATTATGACTTTTGGGCAATTCAAAGTACTATGTTTTCACTGATTATAAAGCAAACATCCTTTTCATCTTTCAAAACAGTAAAAATATGGGTTGGGTGTGGTGATTTACACCTGTAATTCCAGTACTTTGGGAGGCCAACGTGGGAGGACCACCTGAGCCAAAGTGTTCAATGATGCAGTGAGCAATGATCACATTATCACACTCTCGCCTGGGCAACAGAGTAAGACTCTGTCTCAAAAAATAAAACAAAAAAATCAACAGTAATAATGTTTTAAGAATAAATTTAACCAAGGTGCAAGACTTAGACATGGAAAGTTACAAAATATTGCTGAAATAAATTCCAGAATCCCTGAATAAATGTGAAGACATTCCATGTTTCTGGATTAGAAGATATTTTTTAACATGACAGTAGTACACAAACCAATCTAGAAATTCATTGTGATTTCTATGAAAACACCAAAGTTATTTTGACAGGAATGGGCAAGCCAATCCTAACATTCATATAAATTTCAAGTGACTCTGAATAGCCAAAATAATCTTGAAAACAAAAACCAACTTGGAGTCTCACATTTTTCAATTTCAAATATTACTGAAAAGCAACAGTAATCAAAACAGTGTAATATTGGCATAAGGACACACATAGAGATCAATGAAACTGAATGTCAAGCCCAACCATACCTCTATGGTCAATTGATTTTGTCATGTAGCCAAGACCATAAAATTCAACAAGTGCTGTTAGACAACAAGCTAACCACATTGAGAGAAAAAAAAATTGTGTCCTTTCCTCATAAGTCAATGGTTCAAAAGCCTACATATTAAAGATAAAAACATAAACTCTAGAAGAAAACCTAGGGATACTTCTTCATAACCTAGGATTTGGAAGTGGTTTCTTAGATCTGATACAAAAATCTTAGATCTGATACAGCCAACTAAAGAAATAATTTCCTCAAAATTAAACATTTTTTGCATTGAAAGATACTATCAAGAACGTGAAAAGACATGCCACACAAAGGAAGATTTGCACGTTGTAGATGTAAGAAGTCTGTTATCCACAACATATGAAGACTTGTATAACTCAAGAAAAAAAAAAAGACAATAGAAATACAAAATGGAGAAATAGTTGAACACAAACTTCACCAAAAATAAATACAAGAGAAAACAACTACATAAAAAGATGAACAGTAAAATATATAAGTTTTACACCATGAAGTGTTTCATATGTTAGCTTTTCGCATAGTCATGGGATTCTGTGTTGTAAAATTAGTCCTTTCCAGCTCCACCTGAGGGTAAGTCAATGTAATAGTATGGCTGGGTAGCAGGTTTCCTTGGATGAGAAAAGAAAATACCTGACAGGAAAACATATTCTGACATGAAGATTTTTCTGCTTAACTTGAGTTTCCAATAAAGGTAACAGTTTGTCCCTCAGTCTCCATGGGTCAAGAATTTGCCATCCAGTGGGAAGTAAAAGAGAGAAGCTTAAGTTCATGGGGTACATGGATACACAACTGTCCCAAGTCCTGTACCAGAGCTGTGACATACTTACATTCCTTCTCAGAATTTCAATATATAAATAATAATAATTCATTTGCTGAAATATCTAGGCTTACTTTATTACTTTATACAGTTAAGGATGTTTAGAAATATTTATATAGATTATCCTGATGTGGGCTAGGACTTTTTGTCAGTTAACTGTATTGATGGACTACATAGAATGTAAGTATTTAAACCTAAAATATCTTGTAAATAGTAACACACAGTTAGAATATATAGCAAGGTAACAGTCTCTCCAATAAATTATTATGTTATTTCAATAATCAGTTGTGTCATTTGTCTTCAGCACTGAGCCTTTTTTTTTACTCATTATCCCAACCATGGGCTTTTTTAATTTACTATTACTTTCTTGATTTATAAATTGAGAGTGATCTCATCAACAGTCTAACAAATAACAAATCATTTATCTTTAGAAACATCACATTATTAACTTTTCTACTCTTAGATAGCACAACTGATATGACTTTAAGGATTCAGTTGGACAAACCCTTAGAAAATTAGATAAATTAGGTAAGGGTGGGCACTGGGTGAATGGATTGCGAATGCACATAAAATCCCTAAGACACCCAGGAACCCCAAAAGTGGGAGCAGACGAGGCTGCAAGCAGTTGAGCACACTAAATGGGAGAGGGCAACAGGAAGGACCACTTGGGGTTGGCAGCCATGTTGAGTTCTATGGTCCTTGTTGTAAGCTCAGTGGGAAACTGTGTCTAGAATTGGTTCCTTCCAGTGGGTCCTTGGTCTCACTGACTTCAAGAATGAAGCCATGGACCCTCACAGTGCATGTTACAGTTCATGAAGATGATATATCTGGAGTTTGTCCCTTCAGATGTTCAGATGTGTGTGGAGTTTCTTCCTTCCTGTGGGTTCATGGTCTTACTCTCTTCAAGAGTGAAGGCACAGACCTTCACATTGAGTGTTACAGCCCTTTACGGTGGCATGTCCAGAGGTGCTTATTTTTTCCAGTGGGTTTGTGGTCTCACTGTCTTCAGGAATGAAGCCGCAGACCATCTCAGTGAGTGTTACAACTCTTAAAGTTAGTGTGGAACCAAAGAGTGAGCAGCAGCGAGATTTATTATGAAGAGTAAAAGAACAAAGCTTCCACAGCATGGAAGTGGACCTGAGTGGGTTGCCACTATTGGCTGGGGTGGCCAGCTTTTATTCCCTTATTTGTCCCCACCCACATCCTGCTGATTGGTCCATTTTATGGAGTGCTGATTGGTGTGTTTACAAACGTTTAGCTAGACACAAAGTGCTGATTGGTGTGTTTCTACAGAGTGCTTATTTGTGCATTTATAATCCTTTAGCTAGACAGAAAAGTTCTCCAAGTCCCCAATCAAACCAGGAAGTCCAGCTGGCTTCACTTCTCAATCCCCCCTCTAAAAAGGACACCCCAAATGCTGTTGGGAATAGGGCAATGACTGCTCTAGCTACTTCCTGCTAGATAGGGGCAAAGAAGGGGCCCTGCATTTGTAATGTCCCACAGAGGGGAACCCTTTAGGACAGTAAAAGGACCAGTGGGCTGATCCAGGGGCCCGGGGTAGAAGTTGTTAGTTAAGCTCATTTTCAGTTCTAGTTGTAAGATCATCTGTAGATTGACGGCCCCAATCCTAGAGGAAACAAATTTGACAAGGAAGTTAAAAATACAGGGCCCGAAGGCAACTAATATCAAGATGGCTGTCATAGGACCTAGAAAGGGTAGAAGTCATGTTGCCCAACTCCAGAGGTTGGTATAAGAGTCTGAAATCTGTTGTATGATTTCAGAAGCCTTTTCTTGTAAATGCCGGTCATCGTCTCATACTATCCCTGGCTGGTTAGTGTAAGAACAACTCTCTTCCCCTAAGAAGGTGCAGAGTCCTCCTTTCTCAGCAGTGAGGAGGTCTAGGCCTTGGTGGCTTTGGAGAGTCACAGCTGACACAGAGTCTATTTGGGACTGTAGAGTAAGGACAGATTTTGTTATTTCTTGCAAACTGTCTGAGAGGCAGATATAGGTTGAAGATCCACATAAGAAGAATATGCCTTGGCTGGGTAGACAGAAAATTACCCTGGCTTTTAAAAGAATAGGGTACTCTGTTTTTTCTTTACTACTTCCATCTCTCTTTCTTTCTCTTTGACTTCTTATTTGTTTCTCTCTCTCTTTCTGAGTCCCTCTTTGTCTCTTCCTCCCTGACTTTCTCTCTCTCTCTTTCTGTCTCTGACTCCCTCTTTTTCTGTCACTTCCTCTCTCTCTCTCTCTCTGTCACTTTCTGTCTCTTTCTCTCTTTCCTTTCTGCTGGTCTTTCCCTGCCTCTGCTAGCCAATTATGCTACTGCTCTCCACTCCCCTTCCCATTTTGATGGCTTCGGCAGTGTAAGACTCCCACCTCCTTGGGTTTTTGCACTGCATGCAATAACTCCATAATTTCCTTGTGTATTTAATGGGGGTTCACTCAGAGGTTAGGAACTCCCTTTCTTTCCATATTGCAGCATGGGCATGTAGGATTAGATAAGCATACTTTCTATCTGTATGCACATTTATTCTTTTTCCCTTTCCCAGTTCTAAGCCTCAGGTAAGTGCTGCTAGCTCTGCTAAATGGGTTCTGGTCCCTGGAGGAAGATGCTTACTTTCTAGTATGGTTACATTACTAATTATGGAGAAACTTACCTTTTTTATTCCATTCTCCACAAATGAACTTCCATTGGTATATAAGTTAAGGTCAGGATTAGCTAAGGATACTTCTAAGATATCATCTTGGGCAGCATAAGTCTGGACTATAATCTGTTGGCAGTAATGCTCAATTGTTTCCCCATCCTCTCGGAGAAAAGTGGCAGGGTTTAGGGCCAAAACATGCATATTTGAAGCACCAGCCCCTCAAGGAGTAGCACCTGGCATCTCAGCAGGTGATTGTCTGGTAACCATAAACTTCCTTTGACACCTAGTCTGCCATTTACGTCATGAGTAGTCCAGACAGTGAGATCCTTTCCTTGTATTATTTTGATAGCCTCTGACACTAAGACAGTCACCACCACAACCAAATGTAAACAGTGAGGCCAGCCTTTTGCTACTACATCAATTTCCTTACTTAGGTTTGCCACTGGTTTTGAGGTTCTCCCATGAGTCTGAGTAAGGACTCCAAGAGCTATCCCTGCTCTCTCTGTGATGTACAAAGAGAAGTTTTTTCCTGTGGGAAGTTTTAAATCTGGAGCTTGTACTAGGGTCTGCTTTAAGGGTTTGAAGGCCCTTTCTGCCCCAGGTCCCATTCTACTAGATGAGTATTTGCTTTCTGGGTCTCCTTGATTAGAGTATACAATGGTCTGGGCATCTTGCTGTATCCAGAGATCCATTGTTGGAAAAAGCCAGTGGTTCCAAGGAACCCCCACAGCTGTTTTAATGTCTTAGGGTGAGGATAAGCCAGCATAGGCTGTATTCATTCCTGGCTGAGGGCCCTGGTCCCTCTGGCTAGGATTAAACCTAGATATTTGACCTGGTCGAAAAGAGGTCTTGTACCCCTGAGTAGCTTGAAAGTTCAAGAGATCTAGAGTAGCCTAGTGGCATGAGGCTTCCAGCCTGGTAGTCAAACGTAAATCATCCACATACTGAAGGACCAGATTGCCTGGACTTGAGAAGTGGCCCAGATCTTGGGCCAGTGCCCAGTGAAACAGGTGAGGGCTGTCCCTAAACTCTTGGGGCAAGACCGTCCACGTAAGTTGGGATGTGTGGTCTGTGGGATCCTCAAAGGCAAAGGGAAACTGGGAGTCAGAGTGTAGGGGAATACAGAAGAAGGCATCTCTGAGGTCCAGAACAGTGAACAATTCTGCTTCCTCTGGTATTTAAGAGAGCAGGTTATAGGGGTTTGTTACAACTGGATATACAGGAATTACTGCTTCATTGATGAGTCTATGATCTTGCACTAGACTCCACTGATGGTTCTGTTTTTGTACTTCTAGAATTGGGCTGTTGGAGGGACTGCTGCATTGCCTTACTAAGCCTTGAGCTTTTAAGTGTTTAACAATATCCTGTAATCCTTTATGAGTTTGAGACCTTAAGGGATATTGCCTTTGATAAGGAAAAGAGGTGGGGTCTTTTAGCCTCATTTGGATGGGGCAGGCATTTTTTCCCTTCCAAATTGTCCTTCCAATACCCAGATTTCAGGGTTGATTCCCTTCTCAAATAGGGGACAACAAATGGATAACTTGTTCCCCATATTCATATAGATAATGGCTCAAGCTTTGGCTAATATATCTCTCCCTAATAAGGGTGTGGGACTTTCAGGCATAACAAGAGAGTCATGTGAAAAGAATAAAGTCTCCCAATTACAACTGAGGAGGTGGGAGAAATACCTGGTTACAGGCTGTCCCAGGATTCCTTGGATGGTAACAGACCTTGAGGACAGTCATCTCTGACAGGAGGTTAACACTGAGAAGGCTGCACCAGTGTCTAGGAGGAAGTCAATTTCCTGGCCCTTAATGGTTAAATGTAGCTGGGGCTCAGTGAGGGAGATGACATGAGCTGGTGCTTGCCTGAGGCAACCTCAGTCCTGTTGTTGGTTCATCTGGTTGTGGGCTCCTGGGCCAGAGAACCTTTGCCCTCTGAGGCAGTGGGCCTTTCAGTGATTGCCTCAGCATTGTGCATATGGATGAGGGGGTGGCTTTTTTCTCATTGGACAATCTTTTTTAAAATATCCTTATAAACCACACTTGTAAAACGCCCTATCAGGTGATTGGCCTGCTCCGTTTTCTGTCCTCTCTGAACCACCAAGATTTCTTTGTCTGAGGCCATGACTAAGGTTGTGGCCTTTCTCTGATCTCTCTTTTCCTTTTGGGCCTGTTCCTCTCAGTCCCTATTGTACAATACCGAGGTTGCCAGGTTTAATAATGCCTCCAGATGGCAGAGCTTGCAGTGAGCTGAGATGGTGACACTGCACTCCAGCCTGGGCAACAAGAGAAAAACTTTGTCTCAAAATAATAATAATAATAATAATAATAACAATAATAATAACAATAATGCCTCCAGATTTTGTTCAGGGCCCAGGGCTTGCTTTTGGAGCTTTCTCCTGATATCTGTGGCTGATTGGGTAATAAATTTATCTTTTAGAATCAACTGAAACTTGAGTCAGTCAGGTGACAGGGGTGTATATTTTCTTAAGTCCTCCCATAGCTTCTCAAGGAAGGCAGAAGGATTTTCTTCTTTTCCCTGAGTTAAGCTGGACATCGTTGACTAATTCATGGTTTTTTTTCCTAATTCTCCTTAGTCCTTCTAGAACACAGTTCAATAGATATTTATGACTCCCAGTCCCCATGATCTGAGTCAAGGTCCCAGTGGGGATCCATACAAGGGATGGCTTGCTTGACCGGTAGGGAATTTGTGCCTTTCTTCGGCTGTCATTCTATTATTTACTTGACTAAGACACCAGGTATCTCCAAACTCTCAGGCTGCAGTTAAAGCCACAATCTTTTCATTAAAGGCCAGGGTTTGATCTAAGAATAGCATGACATCTCTCCAAGTGAGATTGAAGGTTTGCTCTATACCCTTGTAGGACATCTATGTACCTATCAGGATCATCTGAAAACCTCCCCAGGTTTGCCTTGATCTGCTTTAAATCAGAGAGGGAGAAGGGGACATGTACCCAGGTTAGGCCAATTTCCCCTCCCCCTACAGCTTGAAGGGGACATAACTGATAGCCTGGGGGTTTTTGTGGTCCTTTGGAGATTTCTTTTGCTTGTTTCCCTCTGGGCAGAGGAGTTTAGTGGAGGCTGGGTATGAAGGTAAGCTGAGAGGTCCTCCTCTAGGATGTAAATTGCAAGCTTTGCATAGTTGTGTATTCTCCTTCAATGAAAAGAAAGCTTGGACACAAGGTATTTCACTAAATTTGCTTCCCTCTTACAGAAAAGGTCAAGCTGTAGGAAAGTATTGTAATTTTTACTTCCCTCAGGTGGCCATTTTTCCCCATCAGGGAGAGAATATTGGGGTCAGGCCATAGTGCAGAAAAAAATAAGCCACCTCTTTTTCAGGGTTTGTGGGTCAAACTGGTCCCAGTGGCTTAGGATGCATTCCAAGGGTGAACCTGTTGATGCCTGAGTGTTTCCCATCTGAAAGACAAAACCACCAGCAGTTTTGATTTGTTTGTTTCTGCCCCTGCCCAAGAATCCACAATTGTCCCTGGACCCTGCTGATCAGAATAGTTGTGCTCACCAATGCAACAGCAGAAACACCTCTTGCCCAAGAACCCACAACAGTCACTGGACCCTGCTGATCACAATAGTTGATTCACTGATGCAGCAGCAGAATCACCTCTTTACCAGAAACCCACAATGGTCCCTGGACCCCGCTGATTAGAAAAGTTGCACTCACTGATGCAGCAGCAGAAACATTAGTTTTCCTCCTAGACCACAAAGAGGACTGAGGGAGGTTGGATTTAGTGGCCCTTGCTGACACATTCTCAAAAACCTGCACCCTTTCCTGTCCTCCTTGACCACAAAGGGGACCAAGAAAAATTGGATTTAGTGGCTCCTACTGACAGATTCTTGAAAACTTTGTAGAGTCCTAAGCATTCTCCTGTTAGTATTGGGACTTTACAACTGTCCTACAATGATGTTACACCCCAAATATGAAGTGGAGGACCATACCCTGAGTAAGGGAAGGGATCTCAAGAGTTGGAAGATTGATGCTTTTTGTCCTCATATGAATAGGAAAGATACCATTTCTGAAGCTCCCCATATCCTAGCTTCAGGCATTGCTTTTTTTAGACCTGCTAGTCTAAGGAAGGATCCTAAAATTCCAGATAGTAACCCCAACCCATGATGGGGCTTTGGGCAAAAATTATGTCTTTGTGATTGGTGAGCCTGGAGAGCTAAAGAAGGTAAAAGCACCCTGAAGTTTATACTAGAAATCATTCTTATAGGATGAACTAGAAAACTCCAGTGACAAGGAGTGGTTTTTAGAAGCAGGACTAACCTAGGAGAAGAAAGGCAAGAGGAAGTTTGTCTGACAAGCATTAGGACCCAGGAGGCAAGCATCATGATAGATAGGATAGACGGGTGAGTCTCGCTTGGGCGACATGACTTTGAGAGTTCTGCTCATGGCTGCTGGGTCAATCAACTTGTTGGGACCCCACAACTGAATGGCTTTCCTCTCTGGTGACCCGCGGCTCATCCCAGAAGTACAGGAAAAGCAGAAGCTGGTTCCAGGCAAATCAACACTCCCAACTCCGAAGAGTCTGAGTTTGTTAGAGCGCCTTTTCCCAGAAAGCCTGACACCCAAGTCTTTAGTGTGGTGGCCATGCTAGTTGCTCTTAACAGGCCAACAGGTACCCAGCATTTAGTCTCTGAATTCTAAGGAAAAATAAGACAAAATAGCAAGTGAAAGGGGTCCCATGATACTCACTGCTTAGTGAGTGTCCCTTCAGGGTCGCCAAAACATGTCCAGAATTGGTTGCTTCTGGTGAGTTCTTGGTTTCACTGACTACAAGAATGAAGCCTTGGACCCTCGCAGTGAGTATTACAGTTCTTAAAGATGGTGTGCCCAGAGTTTGTTCTTTCAAATGTTCAGATGTGTCTGGAGTTTATTCCTTCCAGTCAGTTTGTTATCTTGCTGACTTTACGAGTTAAGCCACAGACCTGGGCAGTGAGTTTTACAGCTCTTAAACGTGGCATGTCCAGAGTTGTTTGTTCCTCCTGGTGGGTTTGTGGTCTTGCTGACTTCAGGAATGAAGCCACAGAGCTTCATGGTGAGTGTTACAGCTCACAAAGGTAATGCAGACCCAAAGAGTGAGCAGCAGCAAGACTTATTATGAAGAGCAAAAGAACAAAGCTTTCACAGAGTGGAAAGGGACCCAAGCAGGTTGCTGCTGCTGGCTGGGGTGGCCAGCCTTTATTGTTTTGTTTGTTCTCACCCACATTCTGTTGGTTGGTCCATTTTATAGAGTGCTGATTGGTGTGTTTACAAACCTTTAGCTAGACACAGAGCACTGATTGGTGCATGTTTATGGAGTGCTGATTGGGGCATTTACAAACCTTCAGCTAGACACAGAGTGCTGATTAGTGTGTTTCTACAGAGTGCTGATTAGTGCACTTACAATCTTTTAGCTAGACAGAAAACTTCTCTGAGTCCCCACTCAACCCAGGAAGTTCAGGTGGCTTCACCTCTCAAAACCATTAGCAAAATTAAATCAGGAAAGTGACAGGATTAAATTTGTGCTTGTAAATAAATATTTTGCCATTACAATTACCAATACTAACCCTGTATTTCCTGATTTGGTAGTTACATGATGGTAATTTGGGAGAGTGTTTCTACTTTTTGTAAAACACAGTGGGATATTTTGAATGAAGCTGCAAATATGGCACAGCAACAACCAGTCGGGAATCTGGGAGAAAGGATAAAGTATACTAACTGCTATTTCAAGTTTCCTAGAGGTATAAAACTATTGGGAAGTAAACTCCTTTTCAATGAAAACAACCATGTCAATACCATGTCACTAAAGCAGAGACAACGACATCAAACTTCATTATAGGAGCGAAATCCAGCTCAGTGGAAGCTGTGAAACCAACTGCCTTTGTAAGTGTAGGAATGTTATGTCAGTATTACAGGTCTTACATCTGTATGACAGGTGTCACATCAGTATTTACGGGTGTTACATCAGTGTTATTGTTGTTCTATTTGTATTACAAATGTTACAGTGGTATTAGGAGTGCTATATTAGTATTATATGTGTTAGATCAATATGAAAGTTGTTACATCAGTATGAAAGTTGTTATATTTGTATTGCAGATGCCATATTGGTATTATGAGTTGTATGTTGGTATTGTGAGTGTTACAGTTGTATTACAGGTGTCAAGAGAGCACTATAGATGTTACATCAGTGTTATGGATGTTTCATTTGTATTGTGAATCGACATTGGTGTTATGAGAGTTAGAGTTCTATTAAGGGTGTTTGATCAGTATTAGGGTGATTATATTTGTATTTCAGATGCTATATTGGTATTCTGAGTGTTTTATTGCTGTTATGAGTCTTACAGTTGTATTACAGGTGTCAGATCAATATTACAGTTGTTACATTAGTATTACAAGTGTCACAACTGTATTATGGGTGATATATTTGTTTACAGATGTATCTCCATTGTAGGTGTTATAATTGTGTGACAAATGCTATATTTGTGTCACGAGGTCATGGCGTGCACCTGGCATTGTGGTCACCACACTTGGGTGTGGGGAAAGTCCTTGGGGTGCACTAGAGCCATAGGAATATTTTTTTGTTTCTAATTTTCCACACAAAACCCTTCTAGTGGGTCCCTGATCCTCAGCAGTTAGAGGAAGGTTTTTACTTATCTCTGCCTCCAACTGGAGTGAGGCAGTGTGGCTGGAGTCTGTGCTGAGGAGAATGGAGCTCTCATCCTCAGGTGGCATGTGCTGAACACGCGGGTCCTCCAAGGGTCAGAAAAGGCAGGCTCATGTGTCCCGTACTGGCTGCTGGCAGAACTGCAGGACCCAGGTGGTCATGGTGAGGCAGCTGTGCATTCTTTTCTGACTGGCCAGGGGCACTAAATAAAAGCAGACTTCAGATTGTTCAGTGCCATCATTTTGGAAATTCCAACTGAAATGCTGCCTGTTATCCTGGGTTTTCTTGTTGTTGTTTGTTTTTTGCTGAAAATGATGAAGGGACCATTAACCGGAAACCACAGACAATGAAATGAACAGAGATGGCACATTTTACAACTTACAGAAAATTTTTCTCAACATAGTCCTGAGACTTACAGTGTAAAACTATTCAACTTGTAGAAGAAAGCACAGAAAGAGACCTATGTGACCTTGGGTTTGGTCATGAGTTTTAACATAAGACACTAAAGCTTATCCATAACAGAAAAAAATAATTAACAATGTAGGCCTTCTCATATTAAAAGTTTACACTCTGCATAAAATCTTCTTCAGGAAACAGAAAGATAAGCCACAGTCTGAGAAGAGATATCTGCAAAATACAGATCTAAGCAAGAACTTGCCCTGAAAATACACAAAGAAATATTGAAACTCAACAATAAGACAGACTATCCAATTAAAAATGGGTAAAGAGCTGAGCAGCTACCTCATCAATGAAGATACACAGATGGTAAGCAAACAAAAAGATGCTCAATCTTGTATATCATTAAGGGAGTGACAGTCACAACAGTGAGATAGCATGGCCCATCTATATTTGCTAGAACTGTGAAACTCTGTTCAAAACATGACAAATGATTTGCTGAAGGAAAGACAGGTGACTTGGGATAAATTATGTATGACTAAAATTTCACATACTGCTTAAAATCTATTTCAAAAAACAATATGCTTAACAATTACCTTAAGTTCTTTCATACAATTTACAGATTGATTGAGTTCCTCCTTTTTTGCATTAATAACTAGGAGCTCCCCTTGCAAACAAACAGCTTTTCCTGAAATAAACAGCCCATTAAACACCACAATATTTTCCTAGTGAATATAAAAGCTGTTTAACATTCATGGCCAGTATGCCAGACCTAATGATCATTATTTTAAAATATGAAATAGCATATGTAGGGGTTAAAACTTTCATGGGCAAGTGAGAAATAACACTGTATCTGCCATGTATGTCATGAAATTCCACCTGCTAAACATGTTAAGCAGAGTTACACCATCTGCTCAGAGCATAAGGCCCTAATACTCATAGTTCTTAACTTCCTTGAAGACAAAGATCTGTCTGTTATTACATTGTAACAGTCAATAATGTTACTGTACCAAAGTTATTATGTTGTCATTTTCATTTCATCTGTCATGAATCTCTGTAGCTATATCACCAAAGTATAATTTATTACCTAGCTGATGGTACTAACCCATAAAAGAAGAGTTAGTCTCCACAAGATAGTAGTAAAAGGTGAAGTCACTTATAGGGTGTCTGGTCAACATCGAGTACCCATCCTTGGTTTACTTCCAAGAATCTATTTGAAATTTCTACCAAAAATTTACTTCTCATTATAGGCAATTTCCTAGAGACACATTGAAATGTAGAATGTCAGAAGATTGAAAAGTTACTCATCTTCCAGTCTCAGGCCAATACATACAAGAATACAGGAAGTTATATATCAAGTAAAATATTATAAATAAAAAATACATTAGAAGCCAATGAAATAAGAAACTATGCCACATGGGACAGAGAAGTTAAACTTTTTTGTAAGTGTAAAATAAAGTATCTCATGGTTAGGAGTAATATGTACCACAGGCAATAAGTTGCTGCCAACTTCTGGACACTTACACATTTATCAAAATATCTTGAAATCAAGTTGAGTAAAATATCCAGGATAAATCACAGGCCTTTCTGAATGCATATAATATTAAACATGAGGGTTTCTCAAAACTCAGTGAAGACAATGTTTTTAATTTTTTATAATTAGAATTACAAAAAAATGTGTAATTTTGTAGGAACAATGGAGTATAAGCTATATTTTTTCAGAATACAGGACAGGAACAGACCCAACTTGGGAAGCTAATCAACTTTATCAGAACTGAAAAATACGCTTCTTTCCCCACCCAAACATCACCTTTATTCTTCCTTTCATCTTCAATCAGTACATTAGTTCTAGTGATGTGGTCCTCCTTTAGTTGAAGTTGATACATGCGAATCAGAACGACTAAATATGAGTTCCTCGGTTATCTTTATGGAAAGACCATTATCAATGCAGATAATCTACGTCAGAGCTGCAACTGAGGGCACTGAACACGACATTTTGTAAACTTCAAAGTCCCTCAGTGCTAAATCCAGGGATCTAACTTCCGAACATAAAATGTCCAGTAAAATGTTGCCTTGATGCTATAAAGCTTACTCACACAAAATGGAGGGTTGTGTTGTTATGAGGTTACTGAAAGCATCACTTTTCAGTTGGTCTCAGCTGACCCAAAGAGCACAGAAGAAAATTAAATTTACAGAGCACACAACAGACTCAATCCCAAATGATAATTAGACAGTCACTTCCAATCCACTTGTCGTATCTGCCAACCCCAAACCAATGTAACAAATTTTGTGCCCAGGGACCAAGCACAGTCCTGGGAAACATGTGCCAAGGGCATTATATCTGAATTAGCAATACCCAAAGGCACATTTTCAAATTTTCACTTTTCTTTCCAAGCGGTTACAAGCTGCCCTTTTGGTTCCAAAAGGACAAAGAAACACTCCTGTGGTGAACAGTTTCCAAACTCCAACACTCGCCAAAGTTGTATGAGAATCGCCAAAGCCAGACAGACCCCATGCAGACGGTAGAAGCTGTAACTATGATACCAAATAGTTCACTAGCTCCACAACAGTATAAATTAACACACATACTTTAATTCATTTATTCCTAAAATTTCAGTAAAGAACTTTCCAGGTTCCTTATTTTAGTATAGAAACAGACACAGAGAATGTGGGTAAAATACATCATTTCAGAATTGATTAAAAAAAACTGTCCAATAAAAAACATAGAATTTGTTTGAAGAATAACTTCAACAAGTGTTTGCAAGTATTATGTAATGGAATATTGATGGTAAATTATGAGGAAGGTGATAAAAATAGGCCACATAAATGCCCAGAGCACGTGAGTCCTTTCCTCATGACACATTTATGACAAATATTAACTGAGCACTTTTTATGTGTCAGATGCTTTCACACCCACTGAAAATTACCACAAGTACATAGTATCTTAGCACTGAGATATTACTCACTGATACAAAAGTTCAGAGTAAAGAAAAGCCAAAATAACAAAAGTAGTCTATTTTTTCCTTTCCCTATATCACATTTTCCTCACATAGTTAATTTTAGCTCTTTTGATTCTGACTTTGCAGAATCATAAAGGAATACAAGGCCCATGGACACTGACAAATACTATGACAGCTATGTATAATTTATATATTGTTAGATATTCCCATCTTTGTGGCAGTATGAGTGGGGTAGAGGAAAAGGTGACTAAAAGTGATTATAATTCAACTTTTGCAGCTTATCTACTATGCAACCTGAGCAAGTCACAAGGTGCCCTGAAAGTTAAAGCAAATTACAGCCCTCAACAAATGTTAGAGATGCCATGAGTAACAAGAAAAGAGGGTGTGTTTCTCTATAGCTTATCTTTTAAAAACTACCTTAACTCAAATGCAGGAAAGTATTGGCTATTGATAGACATATATATTTTTTCAAACACTAAAGTTTGCATAAGATATTAATCATAGACTACTTCCTCAGTTTTTGTTATACTTCTACCAACTTAATTTATACATACTACTTCTTTAAAAGTGCCAAACAATTACTTTAGAATTTTGCTCCTGAGCTTTCTGTCATAGCTCTCCTCAAGAGACTTTGTATTCTGCTCTCATCTTCTAAGTCCTCACTCATGCTGTTATGTTTTTCTGGAGCTTCTGGGTCCAGAAATTAGCAATAAATAAATAAATAAACAAATACATGAATAAAGTAAATGAACCATAATAACTGAGTTAACAAATTTAGGAAAAACATCATGTGACATGCTTTTAGTTTAACAGATGAAAACTGCTAATGACCATTACTGCTGGGAAATAGAAGAAAAGAGCCAGAAGTCCTCAGCGTATTTTATGAACTGGCCTGGTTACAGGGTATTAAAACCAGCAGAACCAGGGGGCTGTGGCATCTGACTGAGAAGAGTGGGAGAGTCTCTGACTAAGGGAAGTGGGAGAGCCTCAAGAGGGAAGTGGTTTCTCATGGTAGATAATTAACACTTAAACAATAGTTACAGTGATAAATGGCCAAAATCAATTCTGGGATGAAAGAATGATACTATTAGTTACAAACTAATAAAGGTGTACTTATGGGCTGGACACTTTCGCTCATGTCTGTAGTCCCAGCAGTTTTGGAGGCCAAGGTGGGTGGATCACCTGAGTTCAGGAGTTTCAGATCAGCCTGGACAACATGGTGAAACCCTGTCTCTACTAAAAATACAAAATTAACTGGGAATGGTGGTGCATGCCTGTAATCCCAGGTACTCAGGAGGCTGAGGCAGGAGAATCACCTGAACCCAGAGGCGGTGGTTGCAGTGAGCCAAGATTGTACCATTGCACTCCAGCCTGGGTGACAAGAGTGAAACACCATCTCAGAAAAAAAAAAAAGAAAAGAAAAGAAAAGAAATAAAAGAAAGTATATTTATGTACCCGAATCTTCTATAATGCTATTTCTAACTGTGGGGTTCAGTTAATTAGTCCATATATATTTACATTACAATATTTGCTTTTGTCGCTTAATAATGTATCAGCTTTAGCCAAGTGTGGTCACCTGCACCTGTAATTAGAGCTTTTCAGAAGGCTGAGGTAGGAGGATCACTTGAGCCCAAGAGTTTGAGATCAGCCTGGGCAACATAGGAAGACCCTGTCTCTTAACCCAATACCAAAACAAAACCAAAATAAAACAAAACAAGAAAACCATGAAAAACAAGGACCATTGATTGAATATTGAAGTATTCAAAGAGAGAGCAAAAGATAGATATATCATTCAGGACTTCCAAATACTTAAGAATAGAATGGTCTTCATAGTGAGACTTCAAATCAATTATAATTTATTCTTAACCATACTTATTCTTAACTATTCCAAATACTTAAAAACAGAATAGTCTTTATAGTGTCCATAGTGAGACTTCAAATCAACCATAGTATCAATTCCATATGTGTGTATATATATATGTATATCAATTCCATATGTGTGTATATATATGTATATCAATTACATATGTGTGCATATGTATATATATATATACAGAGAGAGAGACGAGAGACAGGGTCCTGCAGTGTTATCCATGACTGTATATATATGTATGTATGTGTGTATATATTTATGATATATATATGATATATTTTATATATATATATTTGATATATATTTGGATAAGGGACTGAGATGTTAAACAACTAAGTAGTATACATTCCAGAAGGCATGTTAGGAATATATGGAAATGTAGTTTAACAGGATTTGGAGGAGTAAATACTATGAAGCTAGAATAACTAGTTGAATAAGGCTGAAACCTTGCATTCCAACAAGGAAGACGTATATTCGTTTAAACCTGTTGTGTTTTCACTAGCTTTGAATGACACTATGCTTTTATCAGGGAGAGAAGGGGGTTGATATTCCAGGTGAGGAAATACAGACATGGTGCTTTTTATGAGGCTGGCAGTCTTCCTCAAAGCTTTCAGATACTTGCAGTTAAATACACAGGAATCTAGTCAGTCAACTGTCTTGAAGATGAAGTTATTAGTCTAAAAACATTTCAATCACCTTGAAGATCTGTGCTTCCAAAACTCATTTTTATAGCTGAAGCAAGCCCAATTCACAGAAGTGCTATATAAAATTTTAGAGGGGTGCCCCTCACATTACATAACTAGGTCTCAATGAGAAGTCCTAAGCAAGAGTGGACCCTAGGGGGACGCCTTCCTACTGTTAATGTCTGGAAGCAGCCATTCTGTATGTATGCTGGAAATACTGCAGTAAATCCAGTCTGGTCTGAGACATACCCTTGGAAAAGGAGTAAGATTTCTTAAAGGAGTAGATCTAATCCCACTTGCCAACTTGGGACTCCCTGCCACTTCTCATCGTCTTCGTGTCCTATCCAGTTACTTTCCTGCTGATGATATCAAATGGCCACATGGATGACCCTTGTGGCTCTGGTGACTCCTTTACCCCAGGGATCTTCACTCTTGCTCGTTTCCATGGCTGCCTCCAATGGCAGCATACTGTCTTTGATTTCCAGTCTCCACCTGAATGCTCATTCTGCAGTTCTGTACTCTTGGGCCATCCTTATTCTTCCACCTGCCAGTCTTTCCAGATCTGGTCCTTGATCACTGAGACTGCCACTGAACCCTCCCTTTCTCCCATGTTAGCAGCCACCTGCCGTCTCCTCTGCTTCCCTTCACTACCCAAGAGAGCCCCAGAATCCTCAATTAAATAGGCTGCCTTTCTCAATTAAAACAAATTAGGCTCTGCAAGCCTCCATTTCTGAAGCATCTCCATCTTTCCACCCTCAGTGAAAGGGACAGAAGAGAAAGACACTTACAATTCCTCCACAGAGCTAGAACAGGAAACTCACCTACAAGTATGTGGTTTGGTTCCTCTCAATTCCAGGCTAGCCCAACCACAGTTGGGCCCTCAGTACAGGTGATCAGTCCTCTCTGCTTTAAGGAGCTATTCTTCCCTTACCCACATGAGCTAGTCTGCACCTCCAAGCTGCTCCTACAACTCATTATCTATCCCTCTAAATTGTCTGAGTATATGGAGCTTTTCAAGGGTGTGTTTTTCATTATCCCAAGTTGACTGTTCATCTTTGCAATTCTTGCCTTTCCACCAGTCTCAGAGGAAGCAAATATGTGTATCCTTTTCAAGGTCCATCCTTCTTTCTATTTGATTCTTTTGCCCTCTTGGCTCCAGTCCCTATGGCACTTCTGGGGCATTGTTCCATCACTTGTACAATCTTGTTCCTGGATCTTGAGACAACCTACTGATAGCTGCAGGAATTAGCCACCCAGTGAAATATTTGTAAATACCACCTCATGGTGCTTGTCATTTATCTAAGGGATACTCTTTTCACAAAGAATGAGGGCTTCAGATTGTGCTTGACAAGCATTATCAAAATCATTCTGGAACACAACTAATTCCTTCTCATACTTTCTTTTCACTTCCATTTCAATTTTTGTTATCTTGGCATCTTTAAAAAACTTCAATGGCAAATTGATCAAAAAATTAAAATTCCAACTATTACACTATAAAAACAGTAACAAATTATTTCTCCAGAGCTAGGCCCAACATTAATGCTGTGTCCAAATATGTTGTCCAAATATGTTCTATTTATTTCATCTATACTTTTTTCTCATTCACTGTATCTGTAGGACTCACTCAAAAGACATAAACAAATGTCGTGAGAAAAAAATATGCACAACAGTATACTATCACATTCTGTATTAAAAGTTCTAGATATTTTTGATAGACCTAAGATTAAGTCTTTAGAAGACAAACTTGTGAAGAGTAATAAGATAAAACTTACCTTTTGACATGTTTCTGCCCAATTTGCTCTTCTACTTCTCTTTTATATTCACTTGGCTTTATTTCCAAAGACTCAATCTTGATATGCTGAGGGTAAGCCTCTGCAAACTGATCATCTATAAGCCCAAACTTCTCAGCTATTGAAAAGCAACAGGTCAAATTAAGACACAGAAGTGTGGTCAGGTGTGTAAGAGGGCAGACGTCTGGTTTAAAAGTAAAAATTACACTTAGGGGAAAGTGCAGGTGTCTTCAATTTACTTTGAAATACACAAAGACAGTAACACAGATGCATGAATGAACAGATAAAAATGATGAAGCAAGTATAATACAAATATAATAGTGCCATCTAGGTGGTATATAAGTGTTAGCTAGAATTGTTTCAACTTTTCTATGTTTTGAAAATGCTCATGAAAAATGTTAGAGGAAAAAGAAAACCAATAGTAGAGTTTAAGCTAGAAAATACTGGAGTCTTCTCCTACTCTCTAAGTGCAAAGGCATGGAGGTCTTCACTGGACTTTGGTTAAAGCTGACTTCACATTCAATGCCAATATAGGTTAATAAGTGATTACATAACAGCACAACCAGCACACACTTCAAACCCTCCGCTTTACAGATAAAGAACAAATGCCACTATAGGTTAATAAGTGACAACATAACAGCATAACTGGGACGAAAGTGGGGTCTACTGACTCTTTCTTCCATTAGTCCAGTGGCCCTCAAACCAGCTGTGGATCTGAATCAACCACATAGCAGAGTGCAAATCTGAACCCAGAGTACAATCTCAACCATGTATAGCACCCACCAAAGAAGTATGCATACAGGAAAAAAGTCTGGCTGAAGTATATTAAAGCACTGATGGTGTTTGGCTCTGGTGGGCATGACTTTAGACATGTTTTTACATCTACTTTTCTGTATTTTCCAAATGCTGTCAAAATCAGAACCTTAAACCACATTGGGCCATTGACACTTGAAAGGTGTCAGTCTGAACTGGGATGTGATTTAAATTTAAAAAGCAGATGAGATTTTAAAGACTTCATACAAGCTATAAATGTAAAATATCTTATTAGTATTTTTATACTGAATACCTGTTAAAACAATATTTTAGATGTATCAGATTAAATATATTTTAAAAATTTCACTTTTTTTTTACTGTTTTCAATGTGGCTGCTAATGTTGTGTAAAAGGTTAGGTATGGTCAGCAAGAAAATTCAAGTAATTTAAATCAAATTAAATTTATAATCCTTCTCCTTAAAAATTAGCTTCATTATTTTATAAGGAAAATACATAGAAAAATCTTGTTAGGGTTTACAAAGATGCAGGCTCCTATCTTTTTGGTTTTATCAAATCCTAAAACCTGTTAAAAGAAAATATTTTGACCAGGTGCGGTGGCTCATGCCTGTAATCCCAGCAGCTGGGGGGGCTGAAGCGGGTGGATCACGAGGTCAGGAGATCTAAACCATCCTGGCTAACACGGTGAAAACCCATCTCCACTAAAAATACAAAAAATTAGCTGGGCGTAGTTGCACACGCCTGTAGTCCCAGCTACTCAGGAAGCTGAGGCAGGAGAATGCCATGAACCCGGGAGGTGGAACTTGGACTTTAGGAAAAGGCAGCTAGTTCTCTCAGAGGAGCTTTGATTTTTCTTTGCTTTCATTGGGGAATCCACAGGGCCCCTCAGCAGCACTACTGGACACCCTTTCCAGGCTTGCCATCGCCATTGACGGCCTCTAAGACACTGTCTCAACCTCATCTGCACCAGTGGGAGGCGAGTCCAAGGTGTGAGAACACGGCTCCACATTGGACTTGCCTTTGCCGTCGTTGTTGCCTTTCCTAGAGAGTCCCTGCGAGTCCCATGATGAAGGGAGGCAGTGAGGGCAAGAGCCGGCTGTCGTTCGCGGACATCCGCCTATGCGGTCTCAGGTATGATTCTATCACCTAAGGAACCTGCAACAACAACACACCAGACTATATTCCAGTCCTAGTGGGACCGGATTCTTGTACATAGCCTCTTTCCAGAATGGAGTCAGAAAAGCAATTTCCAGCGACCACCTCACAGTCTTGAAATGCCACTTCCCGCAGCGGGAGCCTACCGTGTAGAAGATCCAAATGGGCCCTGAGTTGGAGAATTTTAGGGTCCTGCAATGGGTTTTCGCAGTCAGCCTTTTTCCCGATAACAGGCTGCCTCTGCCTGAACCATCTTCTTCTTCAACTCTGACAGCTCCGACAGTCGGGCTCCGGGAGCTGCCTAATGAATGCACGTGCGCTAGTCTCAGGGCACGAGGCCTGATGGTGAGTTCTGGCTAGCGTCAAAATGAATGTCAGCGTTGCGTAGTAACAAGTCCCTGCATCTTGACGGAGAAGGAGACCTCCGTGGAGGTGTGTTGGTTGTGGACTGTTGCCTGTCTTATCTGTGGGAATCCACAGGATAGTCCCATGATCGCAGGAGGGGGCAGACATGAGCCAGTCTGAAGAAATGTCAAGAACAAGCCCCAGGAATAAACCACGAAATTCCTAAGGATCTAAAAGGAACTACAGGATTCCTCAGGCCTGCCTAGACTTTGTAGGGGGGGAGATTTTTGAAACTGGCCCCACTGTGATTTCTAGATACAGCATGCCTGTTTTAATGGGGGTTGCTCTCTCCCTGGTAGGTCTTCCTGCAGAACCATGCAGCCTCAGGAGCTGCTGGCTGTATGTTTCTGTAAGAGTGTTGGGAGTGGTCATGTCTGAGTGTGTGTGTGTGTGGCATTGTGTGTGTGTGTGTGTGTGGGAAGGGCAGGGGGGAATGTGCCTGTAAATGGAGTAGGCTTAAAGGAATGTGGCTAACACACTTCAGCACTTCTTTTTTTTGAGTCTCCCAACCTTTTGGTAGCCTGTGGTTGTGGCTCTGCTTTGGCTGCGGGGCTCTGTGTTCTTTATTTTTCTTTGGATCATTAATCCACAGTGAAGTGGCAAGCTGATCGAGACCTGCTGGCATCCAAATCACCTCCCCCTGAGAAAAAAAAAGCCACCCTTCTAGAAAGAAGAGGAGCACACAACACCAAGAAAAACAGGCATCTCCCAGTGTTTCATTTTCCTGTGGCCAACCCTGGGAAAGACATTAACAGTCCTGTCCACAGTGCCCCTTGAATTTACCTCGAATTCAGTTCCCAGCTGAGCAGGTGTTTCACAACATGAAGGGGCACTCCTCCATTGTCTTGGGATTTCATTCTGGGAAACAGAGTTTGAGCAGCAATAAGGTCAGATAGGAGTGAGGATAAAATCTTGTGAGGGGTGGATGGGGTCCCACAACTTCACCTGCAAAGAAATGAAGACAGGTAACAAAGAAGGCACTTCCAACTCCATCCTTGCATTCCCTTAACTGCACAAGCAGTCCACACCATGGCCCAGTGTTCATGTGAGAGTACTCCAACATGCAAGGAATATTTGGAGTGCAAATTGGGGTCAACCTGGCAAATTTCCGATTTGAGGGCTTTCATACCCCGAGCCAAATGAGATTGGAATGGATTGATGCTGGGTTTCATGTGGCCTCCACACTTACCTCTTCTTTTCCTGACTTCCATTTTCCCAGTCAGCCTAGGGTTTCCTGTGTCTGGCTCAAGGACTTGCACACTAAACTCTTCCCAATTCACAGAGAATGACCCTCATAGGAATCCATTGCAAAAGTGCTTCCTTCTAAACACTGTCGCATTTTAATGACTGGGCAGCTTTGATAATTTTAATACTGTAAAGTCCCATTTCAGCTGCCAACAAGGAAAGTCTTGTTCTCCTGCTTCTTTCGGAGGGCTGGATGATTACTTTATTATGAGAAGCAGGCAGCTGTGTTTGGCTTTTTCCTGGTAATCTAGTCTCTCTTTCATTTCATCTGCACAGGTTTCTCATTGTGAAGGGGCTCTTTCATTGAGATATTGCAGGATGGGACTGTTTCTTGCTACAGATTATGTAGCTGCCACAGATTTCAGAGAGCAAAAGAGACGTTGGGTAAGCTGGCTGTGCTCCAGGTTGGGTGTCGTTCTCTCGTTATGGGAGTTGAAGTTGTTTGCACTTTGCAGGAAGCTTTACGGTCCTCTGACAGGAATCTTTGTACATTGCTTAGACTCAAATACAAGGTGTCTTGTTCTCTCAGGCGAGCTTTGATTTTTCTTTGCCTTCATGAGGAATCCACTGTGCCCCCCAACAGCACTACTGGACATCCCCATCACAACAGGCGGCCTCTGAGACACTGTCTCAACCTCAACTGCACCTGTGAGAGGCTAATCCGAGGTGTGAGAAAACTGCTTCACCGTGGACTTGCCTTTGTCATGGTTTCTGCCTTTCCCAGATAGCCCTGCAAGTCCCAGGATGAAGGGAGAAAGTGAGGTCATGAGCCTGGCCGTCTTTCACTGACACCCACCTCTAGGATCTCAGGTATGATTCTATCACCTAAAGAACCCTTAATGACACAACAGAGTATGTCCCAATCCCCAAGGGATTCCATTCTTGCACACAGCCTCTTTTGGGCATGGAGTCAGAAGAGCAGTTTCCAGCAACTACCTCACAGTCTCAAAACGCCTCCTCCTCCAGTGGGACCGGTCCACGTACACAACCTGAAGTGGCCCTGAGGTGGAGATTTCTAGGGTCCTACAGCGGGTTTTTACAGGGAGCCTTTTTCCCGACATCATGCCGGCTTGGCCTGTACCATTTTCCTCTGCTTGCCTGCCTCAGGAATGTGCATGGGCTAGTCTCAGGTCACCAGCCGTGATTGTGAGCTCTGGCTAGTGCCATAATGAATGTCACCATTGCATAGCAACTAGTCCCTGCAGCTTAACAGTGAAGGAGACCCCCATGGGGGTGCATAGGTGGTGGACTCTCACCTGTCTTCTCTGTGGGATGCAAGGGATATTCCCATGACGCTAGGAGGGGACAGAAGTGAGCCAGCCTGAAGAAATGTCAAGCACAGCCCCAGCAATAAGCAGTGAAATCTGTAAGGATCCAAAAATCTCTGCAGGATTGCTCAGGTCTGCTAGACAATGTAGGGGTGAGTCTTTTTGAACCTTCTCCCACTGTGATTTGTAGGTACAGCCCACCTGTGTTCCTTGGGGTTGCTCTCTCCTGGGTGTGGCTTCCTGCAGAACCATGCAGCCTCAGGAGCTGCCGGGCTGGGTGTTTCTGTGGGAGTGTTGTGAGTGTCAGATGCCTGCATGTGTCTGTGTCATTGTGTGTTTGTGTGTGCATGTGTGTGTGCCTGTAAGTGGAATCGGCTTAAAGTAATGTGGATAATGCACTTCAATCTTTCTTTTTTTGAGTCTCCAAACCTTTTGGTGGCCTGCGTATGGCTCTGCTAGGGCTGAGGTGCTCAGTGTTCTTTGATTTTCTGTGGATCTTCAATCCACAGTGAATTAGGAGGAGTGCCAAGATGCACTAAATCACCTCCACCTGAAAAAAAAAGCCACCCTTCTAGAAAGAAAAGGAGCATAACACACACACACACACACACACACACACACACACACACACAGACATTTCCCAGTGTTTCACTGTCCGGCAGCTAACCCAGGGAGAGACATTAGCTGTCCTGCCTGCAGAGCCTATTGAATTTACCTAGAATTCAGTTCCCAGCTGAGCAGTTCCTTCAAGTTCTGAGGGGGCACTCCTCAATCGTCTTGGGATTTCATCCTGGGAAATAGAGTGTGAGCAGCAATAAGGTAAGACAGAGGTGAGAATACAATCATACAACCTCTTGAGGGGAAGGTTGGGTCCTGCAACTTCACCTGCAAAACAAAAATGAAAACAGATGACATAAAAGGTGCTTCCAACTCCATCCTTGCATTCCCTTAATTACACAAGCCGTCCACATCTTGGCTTGGTGTTCAGGTGGGAGTACTCCAACGTGCAAGCCACATTTGGAGTCCAAAATGAGGCCATCCTGTCAAATTCCCCATTTGAGGGCTTTCATACCCAGAGCCAAATGGGAGTGGAATGTGTTGATGTTGGGTGGGATATGGCCTCCAGACTTGCCTCTTCTTTTCTTTACTTCCATGTTCCTCATTGGCCTAGGGTTTCCTGGGTCTGGCTCAATGACTTCCGCACTAAATGTTTCCAACTTCATGGACAACATGCCTGATGGGAATCCATTGTGTGAGTGTGTTCTTCTTAACACTGTCACGTTTTAATGATTGGGCTGCTTTGACACTTTTAAAACCATAAATTCTCACTACAGCCACAAACAAGGAAACTCTTTGTTTTCTCACTTCTATCAAATGGCTGCATGGTTCCTGTAGGATGAGAGGCAGGCAGCCATGACTGGCTTTTGCCTGGTAATCTAGCCCCTGTTTTATTTCATCTACATGGCCTTCTCATTGTGGAGGGGTTCTTTCTTTGGAACTGGATGGGACTGCGTCTCATCACAGATTATTCAGCTGAAAGTGATTGCAGAGAGCAAGAGGCACTTCAGGTAGGCTGGCTGCACTCCAGTTTGTGGGTTGTTCTCTTATTGTGGTTGCTGAGGTTGTTTGCACTTAGCAGGAGGTTGTTGGGTCCTCTCACAGAAATCATTGAACATTGCTTGGACTCCAGCACAAGGCAGCTCATTCTCTTAGGCAAGCTTTGATTTCTCTTTGCTCTCATAGGAAATCCTCAGTGCCCCTCAACAGCACTACTGGACATCCCTATCACCACAGATGGCCTCTGAGACATTGTCTCAACCTCATCTGCACCTGTGAGAGGCCAGTCCGAGGGGTGAGAACACTGATCCACTTTGGACTTGCCTTTGTCCTGGTTCCTGCCTTTCCCAGAGAGCCCCTGTGAGGCCCAGGATGAAGGGAGGCAGTGAAGTCAACAGCCTGGCCATATTTCGACACTACAACTGCCTCTGGGGTCTCAAGTATGATTCTATCTCCCAAAGAACCCTCAACAACACACCACACTATATTCCAATCACCATGGACCTGAGTCTTGCACACAGCTTCTTTCAAGAATGGAGTCAGAAAAGCAGTTATCAGCAACGACCTCACAGTCGTGAATTGCCTTGACCTCCAGCGTGACCCGACCACAGAGATGACTCGAAGGGGCCCTAAGATCAAGACTTTCAGGGTTTCCCAGTGGGTTTTCGTAGGCGGACTTTTTCCCGATATCAGGCAGGCTCTGCCGGTACCATTTTCCTCTGCATAGGCAGGCTGACATCTCTGACAGCCTAGCGTGGGCGCCTCCATCGCGAATGCGCATGCGCTAGTCTTAGGGCACGGGGCCTGAGCTGTGAGCTGTGGTTAACATCCCAATAAATGCCTCCGTTCCCTAGCCACAAGTCCCTGTGGCTCGACTTAGAAGGACACCTTGGTGGAGGTGCGTCGGCAGTGGTCTCTTGCCTGCCTTATCTGTGGGATCCATGGGATAGTCCCATGTTCCTAAGAGAGGTCAGACGTGAGCAGCCTGAAGAAACCTCAAGCAGAGCCCAAGGAATAAATCACGAAATCCCTAAGGATCTAAAAGGATCTGCATGATGCCTCAGACCTGCCTAGATGTTGTAGGGGTGAGTCTTTTCGAAATTTGCCCTACTGTGATTTATTGGTACAGCCCTCCTGTATTCCCAAAGATGCTGTCTCCCAAGTGGGGCTGTCTGCAGAACCATGCAGCCTCAGAAGCTACTGGGCTGTGTGATTCTGTGAGAGTGTTGCAATTGTTGGGTATCTGCCTGTGTGTGGCTGTGTGTGTGTGTGTGGGTGGGTGTATCTGTGTCTCTGTCTCTGTCTGTATGCCTATAAGTGGAGTCCGCTTAAAAAAATGTGGCTAACACGCTGCAGAGCTGCTTTTTGTATTTTTTGTTTTTTTATTCCTCCAAGCTTTTGGTGGGCTGTCTCTGTGGCTCTGCTTGGGCTATATGGCTCCGTGTTTTTTATTCATTCTTCTGTGGGTCATGAACTTATAGTGAATTGGGAGTTTGACTGAGACCAGCTGGGATCCAAATCACCTCCCCCTGCAAAAGAAGCCACTCTTCCAGAAAGAAGAGGAGCACACCACACCCATAAACAGACATCTAGTGTTTCATTGTCCTGTGGCCAACCCAAGGAGGGATACTAGCATTCCTGTCTGCAGACCCCATTGAATTTACATCACATTTGGTTATCGGTTGAGTAGGAGCTTCACATCATGAGGGGACAGTCCTCTGTCATCTTCGTTCTGGGACAGAGAGTGTGAACAGCAATAAGGTCAGTTAGGTGTGTGGATACAATCTGGTGAGGGGTGGATGGGGTCCTGCACCTTCACCTGAAAAATGGTGAAGACAGTTGACACAGAAGTTACTTCCAACTGCATCCTTTCATTCTCTTAACTGTACAAGCAGTCCACATGATGACCCAGTGTTGAGGTGGGAGTACTTCAACGTGCATGGAACATGTGCAGTGCAAACTGGGACCATCCTGGCAAACTCCTGATTTGAGGGCTTTGATAACAGGAGCCAGATGAAAGCAAGATGGATAGTTGCTGGGTGGGATGTGACCCCTACACTTGCCTCTTCTTTTCCTTACTTTCATGATCCTCATCCTGGATCTGGTCAATACCGTCCACACTAAATATTTCCTAGTTCACAGAGGACGACCCTCATGAGAATCAATTGTGTGAGTGTTTCCTTCTAAACACCGTCATGTTTTAATGACTGCACATCTGAGATATTTTAAAACTGTAAATTCCTGTTAAAGCCACCAACAAGAAAACTCTTATTCTCCCACTTCTATGTGAGGGCTGCATGATTCCTGTAGGATGAAAAGCAGGTAGCCATGTCTGGCTTTTGCCTGGTAATTTAGACTCTGTTTCATTGTGCTTGCATGTCCTTTCTCACTGAGGAGTGGGTGTTTCATTGGGCTGTTGCTGTATGGGACTGTCTCTCACCACAGATCCTTGCTGGAGATTTCAGAGAGCAAAAGAGACTTCAGGTAGGCTGACTTCACTCCAGGTTGTGGGTTGTGGTCTCGTCTTGGGGATTGAGGTTGTCTGCACTTTGCAGATGGATTTGGGTCCTCTGAAAGTAGTGTTTCAGCATTGCTTGGACTTCAACACAATTCAGCTGATTCTCTCACAGGAGCTTTGATTTTTTCTCATTTTCATGGAGAGTACACATTGCCCCTAAAGAGTATTACTGCACACCCTTTTCAGGCTTACGGTCACAACAAATGGCCTCTGAGACACTGTCTCAACCTCATCTGCACCCATGAGAGGCCAGTTCGTGGTGTGAGAACACTACTCCACCATATACTTGCCTTTGTCGTGGTTCCTGCCTTTCCCAGAGAGCACCTGTGAGGCCCAGGATGAAGGCAGGCAGTGACGTCCAGGGCACAGACATGTTTTGTTGACACCTGCCTCTGCAGTCTCAGGTATGATTCTATCACCCAGAGACCCCTCAACGACTCACCAGACTATATTCCAATTGTTATGGGACCCGATTCCTGCTCACAGCCTCTTTCAGGAATGGAGTTAGAAGTGCAGTTTCCAGTGACCAGGCCACAGTCTCAAATTGGCTCCACCTCTAGTGAAACCCGACCAAGAAGATGGCTTGAAAAAGACCTAAGGGTGAGAATTTTAGGGTCTCTCAGTGGGTTATCTCAGGCAGCCATTTTCCCAGCACCAGGCCAGCTCTGCCTGTACCATTTTTCTCTGCTTAGACAGGCTGACAGCTCTGAGAGCTGGACCCCCAAGCCTGTGACACGAATGCAAATGTGCTAGTGTCCTGTCACCAGGCCAGAGTTGTGAGCTCTGGCAAGCGTCACAATGAATGACAGTGTTGCCTAGCAACAAGTCCCTGGGGCTTGGTGGAGAAGGAGGCCACCGTAGATGTGTACTGGAAGTACACTTTCACCTGTCTTCTCTGTGGGATCCACAGGATGTTCTGGTTATCCTAGGAGAGGGCAGACACAAGCCATCATGAAGAAAGATCAAACATAGCCCCAGGAATAATCTGCAAAATCCCTAAGGATCCAGAAGAATCTGCAGGATGCCTCAGGCCTCCCTAGACATAGTAGGGTTGAGTCTTTTTGAAACTTGCCCCCACTGTGATTTCTTGGTACAGCCCACCTGTGTTGCCTGGGGTTGTTCTCTCCCAGGTGGGGATTCCTGCAGAACCATGCAGCCTCAGGACCTGCAGGGCTGTAGTTTCTGTGGGAGTGTTGTGAGTTTGGTTGTCTCTGTGTGTGTGGCTTTGTGTGTGTGTGTATGTGTGTGTGTGCATTTAAGTGGAGTCTGTGCAAGTGAATTAGGCTAATGCACTGCAGCACTTTTTTTTGTTTCCCATCCTTTTGGTGGCCTGTGTGTCTTTGCTTGGGCTGTAGGTCCCTGTGTTCTTTATTTTTATGTGGATCAAGAATCCACAGTGATTTGGGAGGCTGGCTCTTACCTGCCATGGTCCAAATCTCCTACACATGCAAAAAAAACAGCCACTCTACTAGAAAGAAGAGGAGCACACCTCACCCAATAATGTACATCTTTGACTGTTTGACCTGTGGCCAACCCAGGGAGAGACACCAGCAGTTCTGTTGGCAGGGCCCCTTGAATTTACCTGTAATTCAGTTCACAATAGAGCAAGTGTTTCCCATTGTGAGGGAGCACTCCTCAATTATCTTGG